>NC_000020.11:5672395-5823910 GCF_000001405.40 Homo sapiens
AGGAAACTTACAATCATGGCAGAAGGGGAAACAAGCCGTCTTACGTGGCAGCAGGTGAGGCCGGGGGTGTGGGGAGAGGGAGAGAGCACGTGTAAGCACAGGAAAAACTACTCTTTAAAACCGTCAGATCGCATGAGAACTCACTATCATGAAAACAGCACGGGGGAACTGCCCCCATAATCCAATCACCTCCTACCAGGTCTCTCCGTTAACGCCTGGGGATTACAAGTCAAGATGAGATTTGGGTGAGAACACAAAGCCTAATCATATCAGATCTGTTTTTATTTTATTTTATTTTATTTTATTTTATTTTATTTTATTTTATTTTATTTTATTTATTATTTTATTTTATTATTTTATTTTATTATTTTATTTTATTTTATTTTATATTTTATTTTATTTTATTTTGAGAGGGAGTCTAACTCTGTCACCCAGGCTGGAGCGCAGTGCCGCGACCTCCGCTCACTGCAAGCTCCGCCTCCCGGGTTCCCGCCATTCTCCTGCCTCAGCCTCCAGAGTAGTGGGGACTACAGGCGCCCACCACTACGCCCGGCTAATTTTTTATATTTTTAGTAGAGACGGGGTTTCACCTGTGTTAGCCAGGATGATCTCGATCTCCTGACCTCGTGATCCGCCCGCTTCGGCCTCCCAAAGTGCTGGGATTACAGGCGTGAGCCACCGCACCCGGCCATATCTGTTTTTAAATATACATAATATTGAATTATATCTGTTCTTATGTTTAAAGTACTAGTAGGAAATACCCAAAATATTAATAATCTTTGTAACTGAGGGATAGGTTTATACTTGATTTTTACTTTTACTTTTCATTTATCTGTAGTGCCTATATTGTCTACAATAAACATGTATTATATATTTACTTTTGTTGTAAGGAACAAAGGTTTTTCTAAAAGTGGGGAGTGAGACTTAACCCCTGAACTCCCCCCAAAAAGACCATTGAATTTGTTTTCATGAGAATTAAACATTTCTTGAGTCAAAGACACCAAAAGTGAACTTAACAGCAGATGAACTGAGAAAAAGTATTTACAATGTGCAGAGCAGAAAAAGAGTTTTATTTTTCTGAAAACATTTTTATTTATTTATTTATTTTGAGACAGGGTCTCACTTTGTCACCCAGGCTGCAATGCAGTGCTATTATCTCAGCTCACTGCAGCCTTGACCTCCTGGGTTCAAGTGATCCTCTAACCTCAGCCCCCCAAGTATCGGGGACTACAGGTGCACGCACCACCGCACCCAACTAATTATTTGTATTTTTTGTAGAGACAGATTTTCGCTATGTTGCCCAGGCTCAAACTTCTGGGCTACAGCAATCTGCCCACCTTGACCTCCCAAAGTGCTAGGATTACAGGCATGAGCCACCATGCTTGGCCAGGAAAAGAATTTTAATCATTATATACATATACGTGTGTGTGTGTGTGTGTATACATATATATAAAACAAGTCAATAAGAAAAATAAAAACAATCAATAGAAAATTGAACAAAAGATAACAGCAATTTACAGAAGTTGAAGAAAAAAGTCCAATAAATATATGAAAAGATTTTAATCTCATTAAAAACGAAGGAAATAGAGGTCACAACCATTAATAAAATATTTTTTGCCAAAAAAATTTTTTTTGCTTATCACTTTAGAAAATACCTTAAAAATCACTAGCAATCAGAGTTTGTGAGGATGGTTATTCTCGCTAATAATACCAACCATCTATGTGTATACCTACTGTTGGTGGAACTGAAAATTGGCAGAGCCCTTTCTGAAAAGAACTTAGTGGTATATGTCAATACTTTAGGTATGCATGCCCTATGACACAGTGGTTCCAATTTCAGGTATCTATTCCAGAGAAATATTTGCCCATGTGCATGAAGAGGTGTGTACAAGAAGAGGCATGAGTCATAAAGCACTGGAAACAACACAAATGTCTAGCATGGAAGAATGGTTATGTAAACTATGATTGGTCTGTTCTATTGAAAAACCACACAGCACCTAAAACAATTAGAAAGACCTATATGTGGTGACATGGCAAGATAGAGCAACATAGCTCAGGGGTAACCACTGAGGGCCTGTCTGGATTCAAATCATGTTTCTGAAACTTCCTGTCTGTCAGACCTTGGAGAAGCCGCCTAAAGCGCTCTAAGTTTCCACTTCCCCATTTGTAAAATCGGAAAGATAGTATTATGTGCCTCCTAGGGCTGTTAATGAGAATTAAATGGGGCAATACATGCACTGTGTTTTTTTTTTTTTTTTTTTTTTGAGACAGGGACTTGCTCTATCATCTAGAGTAGAGTGCAGTGGCATTATCATGGCTCATTGCAGCCTTGACCTCCCAGGTTCAAATGATCCTCCTACCTCAGCCTCCTGGGACTGTAGCTGGGAATACAGGAGTGCACCACTGTGCTTGGCTAATTTTTATTTTTTTGTAGAGATGGGATCTTGCTATGTTGCCCAGGGTAGTCTCGAACTCCTGGGCTCAAGTGATCCACCCGCCTCAGCATCCCAAAGTGCTGGGATTAGAGGTATTAGCCACTTTGCCTGGCCATACACAACATTTTGAACTGTGTGTGTCTCACAGTAATTTATCAATAAAAATACAAACTTTTGCATATTAGAGAAAAGCAAGTTGTAGAACACCAAACATGATATCAAAGCCTTAATACTAAAGGTAATATATGTGGGTATGCCTATATATGCATAGAAAATGGCCCAGTAGAAAACATGTCTCATTAATAGCGGTGTTTATTTCTGATAAAGGAAAGGACTGGGATAAGGCTGGGGTAGGAAAGCTGTCATATCAACTCTACACTTCAGTATTATTTACTTTTTTACAGAAATAAATGTAACTTGTTTGCTGCATGCAGGCACTTGCATGCGCACGCGCGCACACACACACACACACACACACACACATATGCATACACCAGTTACCTTGGGCAAGGCAATATAGGCTTTGACTCTAGTTTGAAGATTTCAAGAGTACCAAATGTTTTACTCAAGGAATTTGAGCAATTGTGCAATTTTCAACAGTGTTTTGTGTCTATTTTGGCTACACAGAGAACTTCCTCAACAACATGGAAACAGACGAGTTTAGATTGTAGTTAACAAGAATAATTTGCAGAAATAGAAAGAAGCAAATAATCTGTTCTGTTAATAACACTCATCTGTCACCCATGCAATGCCTTTCACAGTTGACTGAGAGCCAATTTTATCTTGCTGTCACATAGAGTGTCCTTTTTATCATTGCAGTTGCACACTTCCCACAATCTTTAGGCAAAGAGGCGGAACTGCCTCATCTACGTGTATAGAAGTTATCTTGTTGCCCGGGTTGGAGTGTGCAGTGTGCAGTCTTGCCTCACTGCAGCCTTGACCTCCTGGGTTTAAGCAATCCTCCTGCCTCAGCCTCCTGAGTTTCTAGGACTACATACATGCCACCATGCTGGGCTAATTAAAAAAAATTTTTTTTGTAGAGATAGGGTCTTGCTATGTTGCCCAGGCTGCTCTCAAACTCCTGGCTTCAAGTGATTCTCCCACCTCAGCGTTCTAATATGTAGGGATTATAGGTGTCAGCCACCATGCTCAGCCTCTCTTGTGTCTCTGAAGAAGGTGCTGGTGAAGAAAGGATCTGGGGCGTCCCAGGTGAGGGAGAACTTTCCAACGCATGCAATCCATCTTGGGCCTCAGGTGACACCCTTGTATCATTCTGAATTAGGAAACGCTTCATTTTTTTAAACCTCATTATGCAAGGAGAATATTTTTTAAAATATTTTAAGGCCAGGCGCAGTGGCTTATGCCTGTAATCCTAGCACTTTTGGAGGCCGAGGCAGGTGGATCACCTGAGGTTGGGAGTTTGAGACCAGCCTGGCCAACATGGTGAAACCCCATCTCTACTAACAACACAAAAAGTACACTGGGCATGGTGGTGCCTGCCTGTAATCTCAGCTACTTGGGAGGCTGAGGCAGGAGAATCGCTTGAACCTGGGAGGCAGAGGTTGGAGGAAGCTGAGATTGTGCCACTGCACTCCGGCCTGGGCGACAGAAGGAGACTCTGTTTCAAAAAAGAAAAAAAAATGCAATCAAAACAAAAATAATAATCATTATGATATGATACCCATGGATTAACCACTCAGATTTAATGGATTTGAACATTTTTACACAATAGATTCTGGTGTGATTTTTTAAAAAAAGTTTATTAAAAAAAATAAAACTGGCTGGGCACGGAGGCTCACGCCTATAATCCCAGCACTTTGGGAAGCTGAGGCGGGTGGATAGCCTGAGATCAAGAGTTTGAAACCAGTCTGGCCAACATGGTGAAACCCTGACTCTACTAAAAATACAAAAATTATCCAGGCGTGGTGGCACATGCCTGTAATCCCAGCTACTCGGGAGGCTGAGGCAGAAGAATTGCTGGAACCCAGGAGGTGGAGGTTGCGGTGAGCCGAGATCTCACCACTGCACTCCAGCCTGGGCAACAGAGCTAGACTCGGTGTCAAAGAAATAAATCAATTAGATTAAATTTAAAAAAAAACTATGCAACTACAGCTAACTCCTTCCACCCTGTCCCAATCCTTTCTTGTACTTCCTTTTGCAGAGGTAACCAGCTTCCTGAACTGAGAGAGATCATTAGTGAGCATAGTTTTATTTTCTTCTTTTTTTCTTTTTCTTTTTATTTAAATAATAGGGACGAGGTCTTGCTATGTTGAACAGTCTGGTCTTGAACTCCTGGCCTCAAGCAATCCTCCCATCTCAGCCTCCCAAAGTGCTGGGATTATAGACGTGAGCCACCATACCCAGCCAACTAATGAGCATAGTTTTAAATCTCCCCACATAAATACGTGCATCATTCAGGGCCTTGACAAGCATGTGCAAACGGGGTCATGGAAGACAATTTCATAAAAGTTCTCTTTGCAAATGTAGAGGCTGCAATAAGGGACCCCAGAAAGGGATGGTGAAGCATCTTGGGGGTAGCAACTGGAGGTCCCCTGCTACAGAACTCAGAAAGACTTGCCACTGTAGCAGAGGGTTACCGACAGTACTTGTGGTCTTCAGTGAACAAATGCAGCCTCTGCAAACCCCTGGCAAAGAGGGAGTAGGCAAGGAGAGGAAGAGAGTTAATTCCCCCTGCCTGTCTCTTCTCCTCCCCTCTGACTCCTACTGGTGCTTCCCATTGGATGAACCCAACCAAAGACAGAGAAAAGAGTTCTCTGATAAGGTCTGTAAAGCTTCCCAGGGCCAGAAGTAGGTAGAGAAGGCCAGGAAGAGGATGTGACAGCTGGAGAATATGTGTCCACAAACAACACAAAGCATTATTTGTGTGTTTTACAAATTCTCTTAAACGATATCACGCTTTTACATGGTTTTTGTTTGTTTTTCTCGAGACAGAATCTCACTCTTATTGCCCAGACTGGAGTGCAGTAGCGCGATCTCGGCTCACTGCAACCTCCACCTCCTGGGTTCAAGCGATTCTCCCGCCTCAGCTACCAAGTAGCTGGGATTACAGGCATGCGCCACCACACCCAGCTAATTTTTTTCTGTTTAGTAGAGATGGGGTTTCACCATGTTGGCCAGGATGGTCTCTAACTCCTGACCTCAAGTGATCCACCTGTCTTGGCCTCTCAAAGTGCTAGGATTATAGGCGTGAGCCACCGTGCCTGGCCTAATTCCTGCATTTATTTTAACTACTCTGTAGTATTCCATTGTTTTGCTATCCCGAGAAATGTTGCAATGAACAGGCTTAGGTACACACGGCCTGACCCATAAGCTCAAGAAACTTGCTTGGGTATTTATACAGAAGTAAATTTGGCTGCGTGTGGTGGCTCATGCATGCAATCCCAACACTTTCGAAGGTCAAGGTGGGCAGATCACTTGAGGTCAGGAGTTTGAGACCAGCCTGGCCAACATAGCGAAACCCCGTCTCTCCTGAAAATACAAAAAATTATTTGGGCATGGTGGTACACACCTGTAAGTCCAGCTACTCAGGAGGCTGAGACATGAGAATCACTTGAACCCAGGAGGCAGAGGTTGCAGTGAGCTGAGATCGCACCACTGCACCCCAGCCTAGGCAACAGAGCAAGACTCTGTCTCAAAAAGAACAACAAAAAAACCTGCTTAAAAAAAAATATATTTGTTGAATTGAAATTATGTACATATCAACTTTACTAAGTACTGCAAAATTGTTCTCTATTGTAATTATTCCAATTTTTCACTCCCACAGACTGAGTATAAAAGCCCGTTTCTGATTCTCCACCCTCACCACAGTTAGTGTTATCAGGATTGAAAAAGTTGCCAATCTAATGGCTCTGAAATTGTGTCTCATGGTTATTTTAATTTGCATTTCCCTGCTCTATACTTTTCTATACCTCATAATCTCCAATGGTGACACTGAAATCATGACAAACCTTCTATTATCACAAAGCAGGTATTAATGCTGCTAATGTTCACAGAATCAATGGCCATTACAAAATGTGCCTTCAGTTGATTGCTCACACCTCAGACTCCTTGAGTTTTCCATACATACAGCTCATGAATGCCAGATTACATGCTGAGCGATTTCATGAAGGAATGCTTGCCAATCAGCTCCATGAGAAAGCGATTCAAAATGATGTTGGTTTCCTATGTTTTCTTGTCACTTTTGAAGAATCCTGTTGAAATGCAAGTCACTTATGGAATGAGCTCCAAGATCTTTTTTTTTTCCCACATGAAAAATACAAGATATGAAACAGCAGGTGTTAGCAGGTTTGTGTTTGTTTAAAATTTAAAAACATGTAAAATGCTTATGAGAGTGTGCCTCTGGGGAGGAAACATAATTTCAGACTTACAGTGGGAAATAGATTTAGTTTTCATATAGAACTCTTGAAAATTTTTCGCTTTTGTTTTTTTTTTACCACCTCCAAATAGGCTAACAAACCAAAAAAATATGATCTGATTAAAACACAATTTGTGACTTTTTTAAAATCCCAAATTCTTTTGTTTTAACTTGCCATTAAATGGATGATTAAATACTGTTTTGGTCCACTGCGGCTGTTATAACAGAATATCATAGTCTGGGTGGCTTATAAACAACAGAAATCTATTTCTCACAGTTCTGGTAGCTGTGAATTTCAAGAACAAGGCAATAGCAGATTCAGCCTCTGGTGAGGGCCCACTTCCTGGTTCATAAAGCCTCTTGCTATAATCTTGCATAGCAGAAGGGGACAGGGGAACTCTCTGGGGTCGCTCTCTCTTTTTTTTTTTTTTTTTTTTTTTTGAGACGGAGTTTTTCTCTCGTTGCCCAGGCTAGAGTGCAATGGTGCAATCTTGGCTCACTGCAACCTCCACCTCCCAGGTTCAAGCGATTCTCCTGCCTCAGCCTCCTGAGTAGCTGGGATTACAGGCATGTGCCACCATGCCCGGCTAATTTTTGTATTTTTAGTAGAGACAGGGTTTCTCCATGTTGGTCAGGTTGGTCTCGAACTCCCGACCTCAGGTGATCCACCTGCCTCAGCCTCCCAAAGTGCCAGGATTACAGGCTTGAGCCACCACACCTGGCCTGGGGTCTCTTTTATGAGGACACTAATCCCATTCATGAGGGCTCCACCCTCATGACCTAATCACCTCCCAAAGGCCCCAGTTCCTAGCCCATTGCATTGGGGATTAGGTTTTAATGTATAAATTTTGGGGGGACATGAACATTCAGTCTATAGCAAATACAGAGCTATGTGAAAGGGAAATTTCTAAAATCAGAGATTTCCTTTTACTATAAACAATACACACTCTTCTTTCGGTTTAAAAGTCATCATAAATGGAGGCCAGTTTAACACCCTGGAAAAGAAGGACAAACAGTTGTCAAACTACTGCAAAATTGCTTAGAAAACTTTAGGCCAGTCTCATGTTTTTATTTCAAGGAAGTTGTGAAATTTACTTTTCCATCTATAAAACAGCAGTGTGACTGTGCTCTGTGGAAATCAATTTTTTATTTAGAAAAAATATTCCATTGTGCATTCCTCCCATATGAGCAACACATTTACCTAGGAAGATAGCAGATGATTTTGTAACCCTAGGTATCCACATGCATGATCACTTTGTCCTCTTCCACTCCTGTGATAACTCCCTCCACAGTGCCATTAGTGCTTTGCCCTGGTTCCTGGGAAGGGACACATGGATGAGTGAAAACATTTTCCTGGGAGCAAAGCAACTATCCAGATCAATCAAATTCTTTTCCCCATGGACTCAAATACACATTTCCTACCTAACAAGTTTTTTTTTTTTTTTTTTTTTTTTTTTTGAGACGGAGTCTCACTCTGTCACCCAGGCTGAATGGAGTGAAGTGGCATGATCATGGCTCACTGCAACCTCCACCTCCCAGGTTCAAGTGATTCTCCTGCCTTAGCCTCCCAAGTAGCTGGGATTACAGGCAGCCGCCACCAAACACAGCTAATTTTTGTATTTTTGGTAGAGATGGGGTTTCCACCATGCTGGCCAGGCTTGTCTCAAACTCCTGACCTTAGGTGATCCATCTGCTTCGGCCTCCCAAAGTGCTGGGATTACAGGCATGAGCCACCGTGCCCAGCCTTCTTTTTTTTTTTTTTTTTAAATTTGAGACAGATTGTCCCTCTGTCATCCAGGCTGGAGTGCAGGATCTCGATCTCAGTTCACTCCAACTTCTACCTCCCAGGTTCAAGAGATTCTCATGCCTCAGCATTCCCAGTAGCTGGGATTAAAAGTGTGTGAGACCACGCCCGGCTAATTTTTGTATTTTTAGTAGAGACAGGGTTTCACCATGTTGGCCAGGCTGGTCTCAAACTCTTGACCTCAAGCGATCTGCCCACCTCAGCCTCCCAAAGTACTGAGATTACAGGCGTGAGCCACCACACCCGGCTTCTATCAAGTATTTTAAAAAATATATTTTTTTCATTGATCAATAACTGAAAAAATGTTTCATTTTGAAGGTAAGTTGTATGTTGGCTGGTTGTTTTTTGGGAGCTGATGTTAAAGGCACTATTATAATAATAGATATACTAGATATGATTGTTATTTTATGTACAATTTCAATATATGTATAGACAAAATCATGTAATAATTTATACAGTATTTAAAATTTTGAAAGCAGTTTCATAAACTTTCCCCCCTCCTTCCTGCATAACAAGTTCTTTTGAACCTACCAGAACTATTTATTTATTTATTTTTCTTTTTTTTTTTTGAGACAGGGTCTCACTCTGTCACTCAGGCTGGAGTGCAGTGGTGTGATCACAGCTCACTCCCAGGCTCAAGGGATCCTTCCACCTCAGTCTCTTGAGTAGCTGGGACCACCGGTGCACACCACAACGCCTGGCTAATTTTTTGTATTTTTGGTAGAGACAGGGTTTTGCCATGTTGTCCAGACTGGTCTTGAATTCATGAGCTCAAGGAGATCCACCTGTCTTGGCCTCCCAAAGTGCTAAGATTACAGGCGTGAGCCACCGTGCCTGAATTGTTCAAGGACAATTCAGAAATCCAAATCCATATGGCTAATTCTATTCATTTACTCATTCTTTCTCCCAGATTTTTATTCAACAAGCATATATTGAGTGTACATTGTGAGCTAGAGATGGGTTAGGTGCTGAGATAGAAAGATGCATAGAAATCCCAGTAAGATGCCACAATATAGTAGAAGAGACAGGATGTATGGATAGCTAATTGCAATAAAGCACTACAAGGGCTGTGAGAGTCAGCTATATCCAACCTAGAGCATGTAGGTCAGTTAGCTATTACTGTGTAACTAACAGCCCATAAATTCTTTATAACATACGGTACCATTTTGCTCATGCATCTAGGAGTTGTCTGGGTGTCAGCTGATCTAGGCAGGCTCAGCTGGGATGACTTGACTTGCCTCCATATATCTCTCATCTTCCTCCTGGAACTAAAGGGCTGGCCTACACATGTTCTTTTCATTCTTATAGCAGAGGGGCAGGAAGGAACATACGTGGCTTCTTAAGGCCTAGGTACAAAACTGGCACATTGTCACCTCCCATTTTTCACTGGCTAAAGTAAGTCATGTGGCCAAACCCAAAGCCAAAGAGTCAATAAATATATTCCATCCATTTAGAGGGAAGGATCACACATTTATTCAGAAAATGGCATGAAAAATGGGGAGTGAGTGAAGTATTTCAATTAATAATATGACCTTTCAGAGATGGATACAGAATGAGAAATAATTGGCTGAGGTGCAAGCAAAAGATGCTGAGGAAAGTGGTGAGCATCTGTATTTTTCACTCTCATAAGTGGTTCACTATCCCCTCCCCTCCCCTCCCCCCTCACTCCGTCCCTCCCTCCCTCCCTCCCTCCCTTCCTTCCTTCCCTTTTTTTGAACGGGGTCTCTCTCTGTAGCCCAGGCTGGAGTACAGTGGTGCAATCATAGTTCACTGCAGCCTCCTGGGGCACAAGCAATCCTCCCACCTCAGTCTCCCAAGAAGCTGGGACTACAGGCATGTGCCACCATGCCTGGCTAATTTTTAAAAATTTTTTTGTGGTGTCTGAGCACAGTGGCTCATGCCTGTAGTCCCAACACTTTGGGAGGCCCAGGCAGGTGGATCACTTGAGCCCAGGAGTTCGAGACCAGCTTGGGCAACATGGTGAGATACAAAAAGATTTAAAAATTAGCTGGGCTTGGTGGCACACACCTGTAGTCCTAGCTACTTTGGAAGCTGAAGTGGGTAGATCACTTAAGCCTGGAAGGCAGACGTTGCCATGAGCTGAGATCACACCGTTGCACTACAACCTGAGTGACAGAATGAGACCCTGTCTCAAAAAATAAATATAAATGCATACATAAATAAATAAATTTTTTGTAGACGGAGGAGGTCTCACTCCTGGTTTCCCAGGCTGATCTCAAGCTCCTGGGCTCAAGCAATCCTTCTGTCTTGGCCTCCCAAAGTGCTGGGATTACAGGTGTGAGCCACCACGCCTGGCCATGGTTCACTATTATTTCATTAATTTTACTTTGTTCCCTTCGCATAGGTTGTAAATTCCTTGTGAGCAGAACTATAAATTACATGTGCTCTGTGTTCCTCTCCACACTTTGGCTTATACTGGTTTATTAATGGATTGACTATTAATAATGGACTCAGGGAATAGAAACTACAAAGAACATAGGATACCATTCCTGGTTGGATGCAGTGGCTCACGCCTGTAATCCCAGCACACTGGGAGGCCGAGGTGGGTGGATCACCTGAGGTCGGGAGTTCGAGACCAGCCTGGCCAACATGGTGAAACCCTCGTCTCTACTAAAAATACAAAAATTAGCCAGGTGTGGTGGCGAGTCCCTGTGGTCCCAGCTATTCAGGAGGCTGAGGCACGAGAATCACTTGAACCTGGGAGGTGGAGGTTGCAGTGAGCCAAGATCATCCCACTGCACTCGAGCCTGGGCAACAGAGCAAGACTCCATCTCAGAATAATAATAATAATAAAAGACACGATACCATTCCTTTCAGAAATGTCTGTTACCTTTTGTAATCATAGTGATCAAGACTACTAGTTGACTTCAATTAGCCTACTTGAGATAAAACTTCTGAAATGCCTGGATTTCTACTGTGTTGGAATTTTTTTTTTTTTTGAGACGGAGTCTCGCTCTGTCGCCCAGGCTGGAGTGCAGTGGCGCAATCTCGGCTCACTGCAAGCTCTGCCTCCCGGGTTCACGCCATTCTCCTGCCTCAGCCTCCCGAGTAGCTGGGACTACAGGCGCCCGCCACCACGCCCAGCTAATTTCTTTTAGTATTTTTAGTAGAGATGGGGTTTCACCGTGTTAACCAGGATGGTCTCAATCTCCTGACCTCTTGATCCGCCCACCTCAGCCTCCCGGAATTTTTATCCCTGATATCACTATTTCTCATTTAATGGTGTCTCTTGGATTGAGAAATGATGTGATTTACCTTCTTTATCTCTTTAGAAGAAATAGCTCAACGTCTACGTCTGCCTCATCAAAGTATTGGACTCCACATTAAACTAAAGAAATTATCCAAAGACAGTAGTTATAGGATGAAATTCAATTTTTCTGAAGAGTGATGATAAGTAGTCTCAGGTGTGTAAGCATCCTACCAAACTGCCTGGCTTTGCTGGCAATAAAAATACATTTCTTATTTTTTAATTTTTAAAATAAAGACAAGGTCTCCCTATGTTGCCCAGGCTGGTCTTGAACTCCTAGGCTCAAGTGATCCTCTCACCTCAGCCTTCCAATGTGCTGGGATTGCAGGCGTAAGCCACCATACCGGCCATATATTTTTTACTTCCAGAAGGAAGAGTAGAAATTGTCGGTTTCAGTTTTTAAGTCTCTGTATTGGTCACATCTATGAGGTTGTCTCAGAGCGACCATCTTTTGCATGTATGTATGTATGTATGTATGCACGTATGTATGTATGTATGTATGTATTGGCTAGTGTGGGTTGAGTTATGCTGTGCTTAAAGCCTCAGAATCGTTGCTTGAAACATTATGTTCATCCGGGGTTAGCTAGGGCTCTGTGCCTCGTCACCATCAGCCTCCCTCTAGGTCAAAGGCCAATGGAGCAACCACCATCTTGAGCATTGCGGGCCGTCACTGCAGAAGGGAAAGAGCTCTGGAGGGTCTTACACCAGCAATTAAACCTTCAACTCAGGCTGGGCGCAGTGGCTCACGCCTGTAATCCCAGCACTTTGGGAAGGCTGAGGTGGGCAGATTACTTGAGACCAGGAGTTTGAGACCAGTCTGGGCAACATGGAGAAACCTAATCTCTACTAAAAATACAAACCCAAAAAAAAATTAGCCAGGTAGGGTGCCCATGTTTGTAGTCCCAGCTACTTGGGAGACTGAGGCAGGAGAATTGCTTGAACCTGGGAGGTGGAGGTTGCAGTGAGCCAAGATTGCACCACTGCACTCCAGCTGGGTGACACAGCGAGACTCTGTCTCAAAAATAAATAAATAAATAAACCTTCAACTCAGAAGTGGCTCTTTGCCTTAAATTCATTGGCCAGCATTAGTCACATCATTCACTTAACAATGAGCCTGGAAGGCTCATGAGGGCTCAGGAAGTATAATCCTATCATTTACCTGGAAAGGGGAGAACTGAAAGAAAGAGAAGTACCAGAATATTTGGGTACTACACACATATTTACCTTCTTAGTTTCCTGATCCTTAAGGGAACTGGGAATTCTGAGTGGACAGTGAGGAAGTGCAGGAAAAAGTGGGAAAGGACAGGCTACTTGGAGCCTTCACCTGAGCCAAGCTTGCTGAAAATGGGTGAAATCTGTGGTGCCTCAACTCTGCCTGGTCTGAATGCTCTGCCGAGCCTGGCTCCTCTGACTTACTTGTTCTGTGATCTAAGCCTCAATTTCTTCAACTTTAAAATGAAGATGATAGTAGAACCTACCTCAGAGGAGGTGTGATGATTGCATAAGGTAATACATGTGAGTGACTTGGAACAGCACTGTAAAACTTTCTGCAATGACGGAAATCTTCTACGCTGTCTGATACAGTAGCCACTGGCTACTGAGTGCTTGGAGTGTAGCTAGTGCAACCAAGAAACTGAATTATTAATTCTGTCACCCAGGCTGGAGTGCAGTGACATGACCTTGGCTCACTGCAACCTCCGCCTCCCAGGTTCGAGGGATTCTCCTGCCTCAGCCTCCGGAGTAGCTGGGATTACAGATGCCCACCACCAGGCCCGGCTACTTTTTGTATTTTTAGTAGAGACAGGGTTTTCACCATGTTGTCCAGGCTGGTCTCGAAATTCCTGACCACAGGTGATCCGCCCACCTCGGCCTCCCAAAGTGCTGGGATTACAGGTGTTAGCCACCGTGCCCAGGCTAAATGATTAATTTTATCTAATTTTAATTAATTTAAATTTACATGTACATTGCCACATGTGGCTATAGCTATTGCATGAGACAGTGCAGACTTAAGACTTTGGCCTGGCACCGTGGCTCACACCTGTAATTCCAGCACTTCGGGAGGCAAAGACAGGAGGATCACTTGCGCCTGGGAGTTCAAGACCAGCCTAGGCAACCTAGTGAGATCCTGTCTCCATAAGAAATTGAATTAGTTGAGCACGGTGATGCACATCTGTAGTCCCGGCTACTCTGAAGGCCAAGGTGAGAGGATCACTTGAGCCCAGGAGGTCAAGGCTGCAGTGAGCCGTGATCGCACCACTGCACCCCGGCCTGGGTGGCAGAATGAGAACCTGTCTCTCAACAAAACGAAACAAACATTGCTTAACACATAGGGAGCATTCAACAAGGGTTAGCTAAGTGTCAAATTGCTACAGCCAGAGTGGCAGAAGAAGACTCAACCCAGAAGTCGAAGAAAATGAGAAAACGTCTAGATTTGAAGGAATGACCTCCCACAGAGCATTGCCCCCCTTCACTTTACCTTCAGGTAACGGCTTCGAAGAGAAGATCTGCAACCATCTAAAGGAAACGTTGGGGATGTTTTGTTCCTCTTAGTCACCTTTGCTTGGGTAGGAAGTCACTCCTCACATAGAAAGACTTGGCCATGGGCAGCAGCGCAGGTGGGAGGCATATGGGTGCGCACTCACCTCACCTTCCAGTTCAGCACAGGCTCCCTTTACACCCTAGCTGCCCCGTGTCCTCATGCTGAGCCCACGGCAGATCTTTGTCCTGTCCAGGACTTCATCCTCCTTGCCTCTAGATCTCCAGTGTCAAGTTAGCATCTGCATCAGTTTCCCAGGGCTGCCATAACAAAGTGTCACAATCTGAGTGGCTTCTCTGACAGTTCTGGAGACCAGAAGTCAAGGTGTAGGCAGGACCGTGTGCTCTGAATGTTCTAGGGGGAGAATCTATTCCATGCCTTTTTCTTAGCTTCTGGGCATTCCTGGGTTCTTGCGTGTATTGCTCCAATCTCTATTCCTGTCATCACAACAGGGCACTCTCTTTGAGTGTCTGTGTTTCCTTTTGTGTCTGTGTCTTGTGTTACTTCTCTCTCTCTCTCTTTTTTTTTTTTTTTTTTTTTTGAGACAGGGTCTTACTCTGTCACCCAGGCTGGAGTAGTACAGTGGCGTGAACTTGGCTCACTGCAACCTCTGCCTCCTGGGCTCAAGCGATCCTCCCACCTCAGCCTCCTGAGTAGCTGGGACTACGGGTGCATGCCACCACACCTGGCTAATTTTTGTATTCTTGGTAGAGATGGGGTTTCACCATGTTGCCCAGGCTGGTCTTGAACTCCTGAGCTCAAGTGATCCACCCACCTTGGCCTCCCAAAGTGCTGGAATTACAGGCATGAGCCACTGCACCTGGCCTCTTCCCCTCTTACAAAGACACCAGTCATATTGGATTAGGGCCCATTTAATCCAGTATGACCTCATCTTAACCTGATTGCATCTGCAGGGACCCTATTTCCAAATAAGATCACATTCACAGGTCCCAGGGGTTGGGACCTTAACATATCTGCTTGAGGGACGCAGTTTAGCCCACAACAGTTACCATTCCGTCGTGGGCTTATTTTCTGCTGGGTGGCAGCTACTTTATCTGTCACAGTTTTGAGGAGGACACTTGTCATTCTGTGTGCCTGGTATCCTTCTCCTGAGAATAACTGAGCTGCTGCTAACATGAAGATGGTTTAGGGCAAAAATTTTAAAAAGGCACTCCCTTTGGGTAGACAAATTGCAAAATTCGTGCCCACTCCATGTGATGAATTACAGACAGTTTGCACCTTCCCCTTCCTGCTCATGCAAGGAAGTGTTGCGCCCTTCCTCTTTCCCTTTGTGTCTGCTTGGAATTGGGTCTGATTGGAATTGGGTTTCGTCACTTGCAACCAAAGAATCCTGACTGACATAGATGGTACTTGGCGCCATGAATTAATGTGTTGCCTCTCATAACTAATTTCCTGGAGGTAATCCATTCACTTGAATGAAGATTGGAGCACTGTGACCAGCAGTGCAACTTTATGGCTTTGGCTGTTAGGGATCTCCATGCCCCCTAGGTCCAGTTTAGGCTGCTCCCTGTTAGACCTGTAGCAGGTGCTCTTCTTGCCCACCATGTCCCCTCACTCTGACCTCTCCATCGGGCGGGGCCCTACTCATGGCCCCTTGGAAGTAGGGGCCCTTATTTCCTCACAAGAGGAAGCCAGCTGCTCAAGGGCTTCCTCTTGCTGCCAGAGCCCACTTTACCCCCAACGTGGCAGGCCAGAGTGTCCAGGACTTGGCCCCACACCGGAAGCAGCCCTTGCTGCCTGACTGATGGGGGGTGGTATGTTCAACACTCCAGCCGCCTTTCCCGGCAGAGGCAGCGTGCAGAGGTGTGTTCCACACTGGCTCCCAGAGGTGCCCTGAGGACAAATGCAGCTCAGCTCCCTTTCTCCCCAGTCCCTTAATTAGCTACTCTCTGTCTCAGTCTCCGCCCTCCCCACCGCTCTGCCCCCGCTCCCTTTTCCCGTCCTCCCCACGGGTGTTTCCTGGAGTCACCTCCCACATAAGCTACTTGCACAAGAGTCCTTGTCTCAGAGTCAGCTTCTAGGGGTTTCCACCTTAACATAAGACCTATGCCCAGGGTCATCACATGAAGACCTGAGTCAGCCACTTACTGGCCAGATGGCCACGGGTTACCCACTCTGGGCCACGGGTTACCCACTCTGGGTCACAGGTTACCCACTCTGGCCCTCAGTTTCTGTCTGGAAAGAGGTAGCCAGTCACACTAAAGGGGGACTTCTTTTTGGGTAGGCTATTAGAGAGGCTGATTCGATCATTGATTTTTTTTTTTTAAACAAAGCTTATGTTTTTCCTCCGAGTATAAAAGTAAAACATGACGGTTATGTAATTTTGAAAAACAGAAAAATAAATTTAGGCCTGGCACGGTGGCTTACTCCTGTAATCTCAGCACTTTGGGAGGCCGAGGTGGGCAGATCACTTGAGGCCAGGAGTTCAAGACCAGCCTGGCCAACATAGAGAAACCTTGTCTCTATTAAAAATACAAAAAATTAGCCTAGCGTCGTGGGGCGCACCTGTAATCCCAGCTACTCGAGGGGCTGAGGCATGAGAATCACTTGAACCTGGGAGGCAGAGGTTGCCGTGAGCTGAGATTGCACCACTGCACTCCAACCTGGGAGACAGAGAAAATCTGTCTCAACAAAAAAAAAAGAAAAATCAATTTAAAAAGTTAAAATTACCCAAATTCCACCACTCAAGGATATTTTCTTTGAAAGTAGAGGGCACAGGGTGGCCTTGAACCCTAACGTACCCTGCTTTGGGTCTGGCTATGCTGCAGGACTACGGCCCTAAGATTTCTGCAAATGTCCAGTTGCTGTGTGTAGACGCAGCTTGAAATAAACTGCTTGTACAGCATGAGGAGGAAATGTGACTGTCGGACCCTTATGTAACAGAGTAGGAAACCCTGAGTGTAAACAGGGTTTCCCTTGTCAAGGAACGGAAATTGGTTTCCAACCGGTGCTTTCAAGGGCAGACCAGGAGCTAGGAAAAGAAATAGGAAGTCATAGAATGGAACAGAGGAAATTAGGAAATGAAAATCTATAGCCTCAGCATGAAGTTTATGAGGTAATTGGACTGTTTTTCTCAAACTGTGCTGGATAAATCTGGGAAGAAAGATTGATTTCTGATCCTAAGAAGACCTGCAGTATAGACCAGCAGGTCAGGCTCAAGTGAGGCCTGATTATATATTTAATAATAACAGAAAAACTTTTGCAAAGGCTGTATCCATTCGGCGAGCTAGAGACCAGGTAGAAATACCATATGAAGGCAACCCCAGGAAGTAATAGGAATAATAGGGAAAATGGGCCAGGTACAGTGACTCACCTGTACCTGTAATTCCAGTACTTTGGGAGGTTGAGGTGGCCTCGCTTGAGCCCAGAAGTTCAAGACCAGCCTGGGCAATGTGGTGAAACCCTATCTCTACAAAAAAAAAAAAAAAGTATCCAGGCATGTGGTACGGGCCTATAGTCCCAGCTACTTGGGAGGCTGAGTTGGGAGGATCACTTGAGCCCAGGATGTAGAGACTGCACTGAGCCGTGATCGTGCCACTGCACTCCAACTTCAGCCTGGGTGACAGAGCAAGACCCTGTCTCAAAAAAACCCAAAAACTTAAAATAGGGAGATTATACTGTATTATCTGGGTGGTCCCAATTTAATCGCATGATCCCCTAAAACAGAATTTTCTCCAGCTGGAGTCAGACAGATGTGGCAGAAAGAAAAGTCAGGGAGGTTTTTAAGTGTGAGAAAGACTTGACCTGTGAAGGGGCCACATGGAAAGCATGAGAAATAATGCAGGAAGCTTCTTGGAGCAAAGACTGGCCCTCAGCTCACAACCAGCAAGGAAGGTGGGACGCCAGCCCTACGACCACAAGGAACTAAATTTGACCAACACCTGAAGGGGATCCATCCCCAGAGCTTGCAGTAGGGAACCCAGCCCTGTCACCACCTTGAGTGAGGCTTTCTGGGGCCCTGAGCAGATGACTCAGTTGAGCCAGAGTTTTTGAGAGTGGGGCTCTGACCTACAGAACTGTGAGACAATAAATGAAATTGCTTTAAGCCACTCCATTTGTAGTAATGCTATAGCAGCAATAGGAAACCTACACCCTGACATGTCAACTAACTACTGCAAGCCAATGTGAATACGACCTTCATGGAGTGTGTCCCAGGCCATGGGCAGAAGAGGGAATAGCCAGCTCTGCTAGGGAAAGTGAAGAAGGCTTCTCAGAGAAGGCATGCTTTGGGTCCTCTAGAGGTGGAGCCTGAGATGAGATTCCAGTGCAAGCAATGGTTTTGGGTGATGTTCCCAGGAATCAACAGTAAGGGAGTGACAGAGTGAGACAGAAAAAAGGAAAGAAGTCAGTAAAAGTGTGTGCGGTGGCTCATGCCCGTAATCCCAGCACTTTGGGAGGCTGAGGTGGGCAGATCATGAGGTCAGGAGTTTGAGACCAGCCTGGCCAACACGGCAAAACCTCATCTCTACTAAAAATACAAAAATTAGCCGGGCATGGTGGCGGGCGCCTGTAATCCCAGCTACTCCGGAGGCTGAGTCGGGAGAATGGCCTGAACCCGGAAAGGCAGAGGTTGCAGTGAGCCAAGATTGTGCCATTGCACTCCAGACTGGGCGACAAGAGCAAGACCCCCATCTCAAAAAAAAAAAAAAAAAAAGTGAATCAGGCTGGGCATGGTGGCTCACACCTGTCATCCCAGAACCAGAACTTTGGGAGGCCAAGGGGGACTGATAACTTGAGCTCAGGAATTAGAGACCAGCCTGGGCAACATGACAAAACCCCGTCTGTACAAAAAACACAAAAATTAGCTGGGAGCGGTGGTGCATGCCTGTAGTCCCAGCTACTTGGGAGGCTGAAGTAGGAGGATTGCTTGAGCCTGGGAAGTCAAGACTGTGGTGAGCCGGGATCACGCCACTGCACTCCAGCCTGGGTGACAGGGCCAGACCTTGTTTACAAAAAAAAAAAAAAAAAAACACCAAACTTATTAAGCAAGTTACCATTGTAGGCAGCTGGAGCTTTATCCTTCTCGGGGATGCTGGGAAACTGTAGATTTTGTCTGGGAGGGATGGAGGGACGGGGATTTATGCATCTGCTTCCATCAATATTGGTTGGGAGCCTCTTTTGGGGCCATTAATTCCCTAGTACTCAGCCCTTCGATGTATGTATGCAGAGCAGGCACCAACAGTTTCAGAAAACACTCAGGCAAAAGGTTGCAGGTGCTAGCACTTGGCAGTCTGATTGGTGTGCACTGAACCAGTGAGGCCAAGGGGCCAAGGGAAGGGGGAGCACCGGCAGCATTTGAAGGGAGTGAGGGTTTACCAGGCAGAGACCAGAGCAGGTGTTGCAGGCAGACGGAAATGGTTATGCACACAGAGGCCCAAAAACAAGCAAAAGAGTTCTGTGAAGTGGCTAGAGGATTTGAATCTGGAGTTGGACAAACAGGTTTGAATCCTGACTCTGACTCCTCACTGCTTATTCTCCTTAGGCAAGTCACTCCACTGCTCTGAGCATCAGCTATATGATGGGAATTATGGTAGGACCTGCCTCATTGTGCTGTCACAAGGATTAAATTATTTTATTTTATTTTATTTTATTTTATTTTATTTTATTTTATTTTATTTTATTTTTTGAGATAGAGTCTCGCTCTGTGGCCCAGGCTGGAGCGCAGTGGTGTGATCTCCACTCACTGCAACCTCTGCCTCCTGGGTTCAAGCGATTTTCCTGCCTTAGCCTCCCAAGTAACTGTGATTACAGGCGCGCGCCACCACCCTGCCTGGCTAAGTTTTGTATTTTTAGTAGAGATGGAGTTTCACCATGTTGGCCAGGCTACACTCGAACTCTTGACCTCAGGTGATCCACCCACCTTGGCCTCCCAAAGTGCTGGGATTACATGCATGAGCCACCATGCCCAGCCACAGGATTAAATTAGGTTATGCTTTAAAAGAGTATGGCACCTGGTCAGCCCTCAATAATGATAAGCAATACTTCTGTTGTTGTCCCACCAGTGGGTGAATGTTGGCTAGTTGGCTATGCCCACACAAAGAGTGCATGGAGACAAGGGGTCCAGTGGAGTAGTAGGCCAGAAAGGTGGGTAGCAGCTTCGAGGTACCCTGTGAGGTATTTTCAATTGTAGGCTCACCCAGACTGAACCAAGCACAGCTCACACTTGTAATCTCAGTGCTTTGGGAGGCCGAGGGAAGAACACTTGAGAGGCCAGGGGTTCAAGACCAGCCTGGGCAACAAGGAAAGACCCCATTTCTACAAAATAATAATAATTTAAAAAAAAATAGGCACAGTAGTGAGTGTCTGTAGTCCTAGCTACTCAAGAGGCTGAGGCAGGAGGATTGCTTGAGCCCAGGAGTTCGAGGCTGTAGGGAGCTATGATTGTACCACTGTACTCCAGCCTGGGTGACAGAGCAAGACTCCATTAAAAAAAAAGTGAGAGGCCGGGCACGGTGACTCCTGCCTGTAATCCAGCTTGACCAACATGGAGAAACCCTGTCTCTAGTAAAAATACAAAATTAGCCAGGCATAGTGACACATGCCTGTAATCCCAGCTACTCAGGAGGCTGAGGCAGGAGAATCGCTTGAACCTGGGAGACGGAGGTTGCAGTGAGCCAAGATCGCACCATTGCACTCCAGCCTTTTTTTGCACACAAAAAAGGTGGGCGGGAGGGGGAGGCTTATTTTTAGGGAAAGTGAAATAACAATTCAGGACTTTTGAGCCTGAATCTGTGGATCCCAACGAGTCTGAATAAAATTTAGGAGGTCCACAAACTTGGCTAGGAAAAGAATCATTCCTATTTTCACTAACTTCCAACTGAAATTGACCTTCCCCTTCCATGATGAATGTGGGCAACAAACCACAATGATATTAGCAGGAATTGTGATTTTGTCACAAGTAAAAAAAAAAACAAACAAAAAAGCCCCCAGGTATTTCCAGATTGCAGACATCTTAAAGTATCCTTTATACCCTTTACTACTTCAAAATAATGTTTTTTAGACCTGTTTTTAGATTTAGATTTTTGTTTGTTTGTTTGTTTGTTTGTTTTGAGACAGAGTCTCACTCTATTACCCAGGCTGGAGTACAGTGGTGTAATCTCGGCTCACTGCAAACTCCGCCTCCTGGGCTCAAGTGATTTTACCACCTCAGCCACCCAAGTAGCTGGGACTACAGATCTGTGCCACCACTCCTGGCTGATTTTTGTATTTTTTATTTATTTATTTTTATTTTTTTGTAGAAACGGGGTTTCACCATGTTCACCATCCTGGTCTCGAACTCCTGACCTCAGGTGATCCACCCGTCTCAGCCTCCCAAAGTGCTGGGATTACAGGCATGAGCCACTGCGCCCAGCCCGCACCAGGCTTTTTAAAACCTCCCACAGACAGACATATTCTATGTTTTTACCCCTTCTTGCTGTGATCTTGTTGTGACCAATGTAATTACAAGGGTGGAAGGGCCATAGAGGCCATATCCCAGTTAAAGAGGATGTCTCTTTCCCATTAGGATTGGAAAGGGCCAGGCCCTGCTTAGGTTGTGCATCTGTTCTTGGATGAATCACGACGGATGCTGATGGATGACTGGGTCATGTTCCCAGCTTTGGGGGCGAGGATATGGCCCCGTCAGCCTCATCAAATCATGTGGAGTCTGTTAGTTTCTATTGCTGCTGTAACAATTTACCACAAATTTAGGGGCTTGAAGTCGCACACATTGATTACCTCCCAGTTCTAGAGGTCACAAGTCTAAAATGGGAATCACTGGGCTAAAATCAAGGTCATGGCTTGACTGCCTTCCTTTCTGGAGGCTCTAAGAGAGAATCTGTGTCCTTGCCTTTTCCACTTTCTAGGGACCACCTACATCTCCTGGCTTGTGCCCTATTCCTCCATCCTCAACACCAGCAACCTCCTTCTCATGCTCTTATTTTTCTGGTTCTCATTTTTCTGTCTCCCTCTTCTACTTATAAGGACTTTTGTGTTTATATTGGGTGCACTGGATAATCCAGGATAATCTCCCCATTCCAAGTCAGCTGATTAGAATAGCAATCTTAATTCCTTCTGCAACCTTAATTCCCCTTTTCCATGTAATCTAACACATTTACAAGTTCCAGGGGCTGTGACATGAATATGTTTGAGAGGCTATTTTTCCGCATACTATATAGAATCAACGCAATCACATTGAAGTGGAGAAAAAAGTGGTTCCCCAGAGGAAGGGATGTTGCACAGGCCAATAAGCATCTGTCTTCTACCACAAAGATTTAAGGGGGCCTGTGCAACGCTCTTGCTGCACTTCATTTATACTTTTATTAAGCATTTGTAGCAAGCGTTTGTGACGTCTGGTGTCACATCTCTGCAACTCACCTGATTTCAGTGCACCTTTGATAGTTCTGTGCACTTTGCCAGTATTATTTCTCAAGCATATATGGAAACACCTCTCTGCCTTCTCTAAGACAGTAGAAGCCAAATTCAGGTGCAACCTGAAAGTATCAGGGAATTAACAACCTGGGAGCTACCCTCACCCCACATGGAATGGGAGCAGTGCTTAGATGCTGCAGCCTCCATCTGCTGGCGGAGTTCTCCTCCTCCTCCTCCTCCTCCTCCTCCTCCTCCTTCTTCTTTTTTCTCCTTCGTCTCCCTCTCCTTCTTCTTCATGGAGTCTCCCTCTGTCACCCAGGCTGCAGTGCAGTGGCGTGATCTCTGCTCACTGCAACCTCCATCTCCCAAGTCCTATCAATTCTCCTGCCTCAGCCTCCCAAATAGCTGGGACTACAGGGGTATGCCACCGTACCAGTTAATTTTTGTATTTTTAGTAGAGATGGGATTTCACCATGTTGGCCAGGCTGGTCTTGAACTCCTGACCTCAAGTGATCCGCCTGCCTCAGCCTCCCAGAGTGCTGGGATTACAGGTGTGAGCCACCGCGCCTGGCCTAAGTGGAGCACTTCTTGATGTGCTTTCTTTATGGTTCCTTCGAAGGTCCCAGCAGGATTCACACACCTCATTCAGACAATTCGTGTTGGCTTTTCCCCCTTTTTGGTTTCATTCTCCCTATTCCCTACTCCTGCTTCCTGGCATCACCTCCCAAATAAACTACCTGGATCCACGCCCTTCTCTCAGATTTTGCTCTTGGGGGAAACCCTATTAGATAGCACGTATTCCTGATGTTTGGCAGAGAGTTACTGATGTGGCTGTCTGCGTGGTGGAGCCCTGCCAGTACAAACCAGTGCAGTTTGTTTAGAGGCATCTGCCCTGATGGGCTAGTGTCCATTCCATTGGCTGATGCTCACGCCACACAAGTCATCTGGCACTACTGAGGTCCATCAGCACAATAACATGAATCACTGTTCCTGACGCACACTTCTTGGCTGTTTATGAGGTTCTTGTTCAAGACATATGGATAAGGAGTATGAATACCATAAGATGCAATCCTTAAGGTCACGTGCTAAAAGGTCTGTGTACCTAAAATGGGGAGGAAAGGTTGTCTGAGGTCATCTTAAAAAAAAAAAAGTTCAGGCTGAGAGCAGGGTTGTTTATTTGAGTTCTGGCAATCACTCTGGGAATTTATTTACATGCCAAGGGAAACATGAGGACAGTGGACTCTAGAAACCTTGTGCCCCAAGCTGCAAAAGACAGCAGGCTTGGGCCCAGAGAGACACCAAGACCTTGCCAAAGACTCAACGAATACCTGATGGCCGAGCACAGTGGCTCACGCCTGTAATCCCAGCTCTTTGGGAGGCCGAGGCGAGTAGATCATCTGAGGTTGGAAGTTTGAGACCAGCCTAACCAACATGGTGAAACCCTGTCTTTAATAAAAATACAAAAATTAGCTGGGTGTGTTGGTGCACGCCTGTAATTCCAGCTACTCAGGAGGCTGAGGCCTGAGAATCACCTGAACCCAGGAGGCAGAGGTTGCAGTGAGCTGAGATTGCACCACTGCACTCCAGCCTGGGTGACAGAATGAGACTTGGCCTCAAAAAATAAACAACAAAAAACCCCACAAATGCCTGATGACTTTTGATGGGTGTCAAGTGTTCTTTGTCAGCTGATGGGGACATCATTTAATCTATGTACTAGATGGAGATCAGGTAGAAGGCATGAAGTCTCATGACTTTTATCACATCTCTAGGTCATACAGCACTCCCCTGCCCCACTGCCTGACCCCCTGCAGCATGGGGCCATTCTCTTCACCTGCCTTCTCAGAATCTCAGTTGGTCGCCTTGGAGCACAGAGGCTGTCCATCCTCGGGGGGAGCACCACCAGCAGATGGCATAGATTTTCCACCACCCACCAAAACTGCAGCGTGACTTTGCAACGGGACAGGAAAAAAGAATGAATAATCCCAAGGCCCTGCTTTTTTTTCTCAAAAGTACTTTCAAAGGAGATTTTTGGCCGGGCATGGTGGCTCATGCCTTTTTAATCTCAGCACTTTGGGAGGCCAAGGCAGGTGGATCACCTGAGGTCAGGAGTTCAAGAACAGCCTAGCCAACATGGTGAAACCCTGTCTCTACTAAAAATACAAAAAATTAGCTGGGCATGGTGTCACATGCCTGTACTCCCAGCTACTAGGGAGGCTGAGGCAAGAGAATTGCTTGAACCCAGGAGACGCAGGTTGCAGTGAGCCGAGATCATGCCATTGCACTCCAGCCTGGGCGACAAGAGCAAAACTCCATCTCAAAAAAAAAAAAAAAAAGGTGGGCGGGGGGGTTTGTTTTTTGTTTTTTTCATTTTAAATTTACCTTTTATATTTTTGTACATATTGTTAGGGGTCAGCCACACTTAATGATCTTGGAAGAGCAAAGCAGTCTTCAGAGCGTTCTCTGTCCTACTTCCGATTTTACTTGTGGCATGACCTTGTTCCTTAAAATCTCAAAGGAAAAAACCTTATAAAAAGAAAAGCAGCCTGGGCGTGGTGGCTCACGCCTGTAATCCCAGCACTTTGGGAGGCCAAGGTGGGCGGATCACGAGGTCCGGAGATCGAGACCATCCTGGCTAACACAGAGAAACCCCGTCTCTACTAAAAATACAAAAATTAGCTGGATGTAGTGGCATGTGCCTGTAATCCCAGCTACTTGGGAGGCTGAGGCAGGAGAATTGCTTGAACAAGGGAGGCAGAGGTTGCAGTGAGCTGAGATTGTGCCACTGCACTCCAGCCTGGTGACAGAGCGGGACTCCATCTCAAAAAAAAAAAAAAAAAAAAAAGAAAAGAAAAGCAAAAGGACAACTCTTATTCTGAGCATCTATTAAGTTTTTTTGTGTATGTATTAAGCTGTACTATGAGTAGTTGGTTTGTACGAAATGGTTAAATAGGCCAAATACAAAAGATTTCTCTCTCTCTCTCTCTCTTTTTTTAGAGACACGGTCTCGCTGGACTGGTGCAGTGGTGCAATCAGTGTTCATTGTAACCTTGACCTTCCTGGCTCAAGCAGTTTTCCCTCCTTAGCCTCCCGAGTACCTGGGACCACAGGTGTACACCATTATGCACAACTAATTTTTAAAATTTTTGTAGAGACAGGGGGTCTCACTGTTTTGTTCAGGCTGATCTTGAACACCTAAGCTCAAGTGATTCTCCTGTCTTGGCCTCCCAAAGTGCTGGGATTACAGGTGTGAGCTGCTGTGTCTGGCTGGGTTTCTTTCTTTTTTTTTTTTTTTTCCTCTTTTTTTGTCTATAAAGTTGCTGTTTGTTTATAAATGTTTTCACTTGTTTGATGTATGTGTGAAACAATGTTCAACAATTAACCAGAATTTTATTTTGCTGATTTACTCTTTAACAACAAAAGATGTAATAATAAATAATAATTACAGCACACTTACTATGTACCAGGCATCATTCTAGGCCCTTTATAGATACTGTTTCATCTGTCCTCATAACAATTTCATGATGTAGATAGATGAAAAACAGAGGCAAGAAAGGTCAAGTACCCTGCCGAAAGTCACCCAGTCAAGAGGCATCTCTATAACCAGTTGAGAAATCATGACCTTATATAGAAGCATCTCAAAACTAGCCCAATGCTATCAGAGACCCCTGGGTTCTAAGAGCCAAAATGACAGCCTCTTCTCTTTTCATTGTGATTTTCTAAAATCACAGATGTTTAATCTTTCTGTAGCTCTGTTTTTGAAACAGTTTTTGACTCTGGGTTTAAGGAGAAAGGTGGCTTATGCTTGTAATCCCAGCATTTGGAAGGTTGAGGTGGGTGGATCACTTGAGCCCAGGAGTTTGAGATCAGCCTGGGCAACATGGTGAGACCCCGTCTCTACCAAAAATACAAAAAAATTAACCAGGCATGGTGGCATGCACCTATAGTTCCAGCTACTCGGGAGGCTGAGGTAGGAGGCTCACCTGAGCCTTGGAAGGTTAAGGCTGCAGTGAACCACGATCATGCCATTATACTCCAGCCTGGGCGATAGAGTGAGAACTTGTCTAAAAAAAAAAGGGAGAGAGTGCTGTTTTCTCTACTCTTTTCTTTCTTTCTCTCTTTCTTTTTCTCTTTCTTTCTTTCTTTCATCTTTCTTTTTTTTTGTTTTGTTTTCTTTGAGATGGAGTCTTGCTCTGTCATCCAGGCTGGAGTGCAGTGGCACAATTTCAGCCCACTGCAACCACTGCCTCCCAGGTTCAAGTGATTCTCCTGCCTCAGACTCCCAAGTAGTTGGGATTACAGGTGCCTGCCACCACGCCTGGCTAATTTTTTGTATTTTTAATGGAGACAGAGTTCCACCATGTTGGCCAGACTGGTCTCAAACACCTGACCTTAAGTGATCCACCTCCCCCAACCTCCCAAAATGCTGGGATTATGGGCGTGACCCACCAGGCCTGGCCTTCTCTACCCTTTTCAATGCCAGGTAAATTCCTTGCACTATAGGATTTGCTCACTTGTTCTCATTCTATTGTTTTCTTCTCCTCTTTTTGACTTAACTGGCCTGTCTTCATTTCTTTGTTATGCCTGTATCTCTTATTCTTCGAGTATTTTATTTATTTATGAAATTATTATTTTTGAGACACAGTCTCATTTCTGTCACCCAGGCTGCAGTGCAGTGGCACAATCACGGCTCACTGCAGCCTCAACCTCCCAGGCTCAAGCAATCCTCCCATCTCAGTCTCCTGAGTAGCTGGGTATACAGGTGCTCACAACCATGCCTGGCTAATTTTGTATTTTTTGTAGAGACCAGGTCTCACTATGCTGCTCAGGCTGGTCTCGAACTCCTGGACTCAAATGATCCTCCTGCCTCGGCCTCTCAAAGTGCTGGGATTACAGGCGTGAGCCACTGTGCTCCGCCTGTAAGAGTATTTTAGGCTGGGCACGGTGGCTCACATCTGTAATCTCAGTACTTCGGGAGGCCAAGGCAGGCGGATCACGATGTCAGGTGTTCGAGACCAGCCTGGCCAACATGGTGAAACCCTGTATCTACTAAAAATACAAAAATTAGCCAGGTGTGGTGGTGTGTGCCTGTAATCCCAGCTACTCAGGAGGCTGAGGCAGGAGAATTGCTTGAACCCGGTAGGCGGAGGTTGCAGTGAGCCAAGATCATGCCACTGCACTCCAGCCTGGGTGACAAAGCAAGACTCCATCTTGAGAAAAAAAAAAAGAGTATTTTAGAGAGTATTTTACCTGTACTGAATGTGATTTTACTGTGAAGGCAGGAATGCCATGAAGTGGACACAAATGCAATGCCGTTTGGTTGTTAGAGTGCAGCTATTTTGTGCAGGTTGGGAGCTGCACAAAGGTGTATCATTATGATTCTTCAGCATCTCTGTAGGAGCACAAGAACACTTGTCAAATTGCATGATAATGACTAAGCATGTGAGGGACGAAGTCACCAAAAACAGGGCTGGCTATGTGAGAGTCCTAAAGAAGGCTCAGGTAGGCTGTTGCCAGTTTACAGCTTTACCTTTATTTATATTCCTTTTTTTTTTTTTTGGCAGAATCTCACTCTGTTGCCCAGGCTGGAGTGCAGTGGCACAATCTCGGCTCACTGCAATCTCTGCCTCCCAGGTTCAAGCGATTCTCGTGCCTCAGCCTCCCAGCACCTGGGACTACAAGTGTGCATCACCACGCCCGGCTAATTTTTTGTATTTTAGTAGAGATGGGGTTTCACCATGTTGGCCAGGCTGGTCTCGATGCACCCGGCTACCTTTATTTGTATTCAACAAGTGATCACTAGCAGGCTCTGTGCTGAACATGCAGTTATACCTGGAATCATTCAACAGTGAAAACCTATGAACTTTATTTACTCATGTATTAATGTATACAGTCACCCTGTCATGCCGTTCAATAAGCACAAATATCTTCCGTGCATTCAGAATTTTCTGGAATTTGGAAAAACAAAGATAAATAAGGCTGAGGACTTGCCCTGAGGAATTTACAGCCTAAAAAGGAAGACATAAATGAACAGGTAGCTGATGCAACAGTTCAGAAACATCAAGAGCCTGAATCTTCTACAAGACCCAAGGAGGATAAAAATCAAACTTTTCGATTATAATATTTAAGATAACTTTAAGTTCTCCCCCCCCTCCCCCTCCCCCTCCCTCTCCCTCCGGTCTCCCTCTCCCTCTCTTTCCACGGTCTCCCTCTGATGCCCAGCCGAGGCTGGACTGTACTGCTGCCATCTCGGCTCACTGCAACCTCCCTGCCTGATTCTCCCGCCTCAGCCTGCCGAGTGCCTGCGATTGCAGGCGCGCGCCGCTACGCCTGACTGGTTTTCGTATTTTTTTGGTGGGGACGGGGTTTCGCTGTGTTGGCCGGGCTGGTCTCCAGCTCCTAACCGCGAGTGATCCGCCAGCCTCGGCCTCCCGAGGTGCCGGGATTGCAGACGGAGTCTCGTTCACTCAGTGCTCAATGGTGCCCAGGCTGGAGTGCAGTGGCGTGATCTCGGCTCGCTACAACCTGCACCTCCCAGCCGCCTGCCTTGGCCTCCCAAAGTGCCGAGATTGCAGCCTCTGCCCGGCCGCCACCCCGTCTGGGAAGTGAGGAGCGTCTCTGCCTGGCCGCCCATCATCTGGGATGTGAGGAGCCCCTCTGCCTGGCTGCCCAGTCTGGGAAGTGAGGAGCGCCTCTTCCCGGCCGCCATCCCATCTAGGAAGTGAGGAGCGTCTCTGCCCAGCCGCCCATTGTCTGAGATGTGGGGAGCGCCTCTGCCCCGCCGCCCCATCTGGGATGTGAGGAGCACCTCTGCCCGGCCGCGACCCCGTCTGGGAGGTGAGGACCGTCTCTGCCTGGCCGCCCCGTCTGAGAAGTGAGGAGCCCCTCCGCCCGGCAGCCGCCCCGTCCGGGAGGGAGGTGGGGGGTCAGCCCCAGGCCCGGCCAGCCGCCCCGTACGGGAGGTGAGGGGCGCCTCTGCCCGGCCGCCCCTACTGGGAAGTGAGGAGCCCCTCTGCCCGGCCGCCACCCCGTCTGGGAGGTGTACCCAACAGCTCATTGAGAACGGGCCATGATGACAATGGCGGTTTTGTGGAATAGAAAAGGGGGAAAGGTGGGGAAAAGATTGAGAAATCGGATGGTTGCTGTGTCTGTGTAGAAAGAAGTAGACATGGGAGACTTTTCATTTTGTTCTGTACTAAGAAAAATTCTTCTGCCTTGGGATCCTGTTGATCTGTGACCTTACCCCCAACCCCGTGCTCTCTGAAACATGTGCTGTGTCCACTCAGGGTTAAATGGATTAAGGGTGGTGCAAGATGTGCTTTGTTAAACAGATGCTTGAAGGCAGCATGCTCGTTAAGAGTCATAACCACTCCCTAATCTCAAATACCCAGGGACACAAACACTGCGGAAGGCCGCAGGGTCCTCTGCCTAGGAAAACCAGAGACCTTTGTTCACTTGTTTATCTGCTGACCTTCCCTCCACTATTGTCCTGTGACCCTGCCAAATCCCCCTCTGCGAGAAACACCCAAGAATGATCAATTAAAAAAAAAAAAATCAAACTTTTCATTCCCTCTTTACAGTGTTGATGATCTCTATCTGAAAGTCTTGAGTGAATGCCTTTCTGGTTAATCAGTCACCATTGGCTGAGGGCAGGGGCTCACACCTGTAATCCCATCACTTTGGGAGACCGAGGTAGGAGTTTGAGACCAGCCTGGGCAACATTGCAAGACCCTGTCTCTATTTTATTTTATTTATTTATTTTTTTTGAGATGGAGTTTTGCTCTGGTTGCCCAGGCTGGAGTGGAATGGTGTGATTTTGGCTCACCACAACCTCCGCCTCCCAGGTTTAAGTGATTCTCCTGCCTCAGCCTCCTGAGTAGCTGGGATTACAGGCATGTGCCATCATGCCTGGCTAATTTTGTATTTTTAGTAGAGATGGGGTTTCTCCATGTTGGTCAGGCTGGTCTCGAACTCCCGACCTCAGGTGATCCACCTGCCTCATCGTCCCAAAGTGCTAGGATTATAGCCGTGATTAAAATTATTTTTTTAAAAAAGGCTGGGTGCAGTGGCACACACCTGTAATCCCAGTACTTTGGGAGGCCCAGGTGGGAGGATCACTTGAGGTCAGGAGTTTGAGATCAGCCGGGGTAACACAACGAGACTCCTGTCTCTACCAAAAAAAAAAAAAAAAAAAAAAAACAGAATCCTAACAACAATTAAAAAAAAAAGTAACCATCCTTTCTTTCTTAAATGAAGTAATAGCCCAGTTGCCTTTCCCCCTTGTATCTAGTGCTATTTAGAAAGAAATGGGAAACAAAGAGGGAGAGAAAGAGGGAGAAAGCCTAATATAATTGCACACTGACCTGCAAGGTAATTGAGATGCTTTCTCCACACTCCAAGATTTTTCCAAGGATAAAAAAACTTTCATTGTTATATTCGTGGTAAGTTTATATTTACATCAGTGTAATCACTAGCTTAAAGTGTCTGGTGGATTTTCCTGCTGGCAGCTTTGGTGAGTGAGGAACTTTATGCTCCAACAATGGAAAGCCCAAGTCTAGCTTTCCTTGCAGAGCTAAAAGAATGGGTTCCGGGAATGTCACAGCACTGACGTTTTCATTAGTCTGGAAACTTCATCACTGGAGTTGGTGGAAGTAAGATTTAAGTCTCAGATGTGACTTCTACAGTGAAAATACCAAAGAGCCTTCCTATGAATAATTAAATGGCTGTACTGAGCCAGAGCAACAGCAAAAGATAAAAAGCACCCGTTTGTCATCAGCCGGACTTAAAGGGGCTGAGTCCGGTTTTTATTCAACCTGCTTCAAGTGCAGCTGTGTCAGCCTTCACTCTTTTATTGGCAGGAAGGGAAGCTTTTGGTATCAGATGTTCTTCCACAGGAGAACTGCTTGTTTGCTTAGTGAAACTGCAATAATAAAATTAATTAAAAGCTTTTTATCATTTAGCTATAGCACAGAGGAAGTATAAATGGACATTCAAAATGGCAAGATGAGTTCAAGGCCACGTAGCAAATATACCTATAGTCAGTGTAAGGATTAAAACAATTAAGATGCTTTTGTCTTTTAATTTTTTTTTTTAAGAGAGGGTCCTGCTTTGTTGCTCAGGCTGGAGTATAGTGGTGCAATCATGACTCATTTCAGATTCAAACTCCTGTTATCGAGGGATCCTCCCACCTCAGCCTCCCAAGTAGCTGGGATTACAGGTGCACACCACCATGCCCTGCTAATTTTTGTATTTTTTTAATGCAATGGGGTCTCACTATGTTCCCCAGGCTGGTCCCAAACCCCTCGGCTCAAGTGCTCTTCCCACCTCAACCTCCCAAAGTGCTGGGATTACAGATGTGAGACTGTGCCTGACCTAAAATTCTTAAAGTGCTTAGTGCTGGCTCACAGGAAATATTACTATGCGGTAGCAATTCTTATTCCTGACCAGTTTTCTGTATTAGTTTCCTATTGCTGCTGTGACAAATTACCACAAGCTTAGTGACTTAAAACAACACAAATTTGGCCAGGTGCAGTGGCTCATGCCTGTAATCCCAGCACTTTGGGAGGCTGAGGCAGGCAGATCACAAGGTCAGGAGATCAAGACCATCCTGGCCAACATGGTGAAACCTTGTCTCTACTAAAAATACAAAAATTAGCTGGGCATAGTGATGCCTGCCTGTAGTTCCACCTTCTTGGGAGGCTGAGGCAGGAGGATTGCTTGAACCAGGAGGCGGAGGTTGCAGTGAGCCGAGATCGTGCCACTGTACTCCAGCCTGGGCAACAGAGTGAGACTCCATCTCACACACACACACACACACACACACACACACACACAAACAACAAAAAACTACAAATTTATCTTATAGCTCTGGAGTCAGATATTTCAAATGGGTCAGCAGGGCTGCATTCCTACTGGAGGCTCTAGTGGAAAATCTGTTTCCTTGCCTTTTGCAGCTTCTAGAGGCCACCTGTGTTCCTTGGTTCATAGCCCCACATCACTCTGACCTCTGTTTCCATCATCACGTCTCCTTTTCTGACTCTGATCCTCCTGCTTGGCTCCTATAAGGACCCATGTGATGACATTGTACCCACCTGGATAATTCAGAATAATCTTCCCATCTCAAATCTTTAATTTGATCACATCGGCAGTCACTTTTGTCCTGGTAAGGTAATGCCCACAGATTCTGAGGATTAGGGTGTGGTCTTGTTTGGGAAACAGGACATTACTCAGTTTACCACATCTTCTTTCAATTTCACTGCTCTAGGCTGGGCACAGTGGCTCACGCCTGTAATCCCAACACTTTGGGAGGCTGAGGCGGGCAGATTGCTTGAGTCCAGGGGTTCAAGACTAGCCTGGGCAACATGGTGTGATCTCATCTCACAGAAAAATATAAAAATTAGCTGGACATAGTGGAGTGCACCTGTGTCCCAGCTACTCTGGAGGCTGGAGTGGGAGAATTGCTTGAGCCCAGAAGGTCGAGGCTGCAGTGAACTGAGATTGTGCCACTACACTCCAGCCTGGGTGACACAGACCCTGTCTCAAAAAAAAAAAAAAAAAAAAAGAAAAGAAAATTTCTGCTCTATTTTGGCTGAAATGATAGCAGCTTCCATTGACTAGTGCTAGCCCTATGAGGGGGTTTAGAAATGACAGAAAATGCACTGGGTGTAGCAGATGCAGACCGCACTGTTATCCTTGCCCTTATTATTTCTGGGCTCCCTGGCCAGATTTTCAACTGCCCACAGTTATAACTATTTGCCTGAGGGCCTTCTGTGGCTGCCAGAGCTTAACTTGCCCCTGGGAGGCAGATGAGAAGTGTCAAGGAATTAGTCCTCCTCTCTGCCCCAAGCAGCTGTTAATCGATGGCTGATAACGACCCAACTCCCCTGCCCTTTGCTGAGAAAACTCCTAGGTGTGTGTTATACACAGTCTTCTAGAGTTCCCCAGTGGAGGCTGGGAGCAGTGGCTCATGCCTGTAACCCCAGCACTTTGGAAGGCTGAGGCGGGAGGATCGCTTAAGCCCAGGAGTTCGAGACCAGCCTGGGCAACATGGTGAGGCTCCCATCTCTATTAAACAAACAAGCAAACGAACAAAAACACAAAATTATAGAGTGCTCCCGTGGTCCGCGGTGTTGACTTGCTTGGTAATATGCCCTCTCCTCTGTGGTCTGCCTTCCCTTTCTGATCCCATTTTCTCTACTCCCCTAGTAATGTTTTCTGGATCATCTGGTAAATAAACTACTTACATGTGAATCCTTGCCTCAGAGTCTGCTTCTAGGGGAATTCAAATTAGCATATCGAAGCAATCAAGTAAGTTGTCAGTGTCCCATGGCTACTAAGTGATAGAGGAAGGTTTTGAACCCAGGTCTGCCGCAGAGCTCATGTTCTGTAACCGCTCCCAGTCACTTGTCTTTTTTTAAAAAAAATTTCCCTTTTCTTTTTCACCTGCTGTCAAACCCAGTCACTTCTTTTAGCTGGCTTTGCGGCTCATTGTACCTAAGGGAGACTGTGGACCCAGTGTGTAATAAAGCTAAAAGGTGCCTATTTTCAAGTTCCTGATTTGAAGGAAGAGTGTAGACCCTGATCTGGTGGGGATGGGGGTGCTGTAACTCTCAGGCTGCGGCCGAGTGTGGGAGCGCCCTGGGCATCCTTGGGCAGCACACACAGACTCATGGGTCAGATGGGAGTGGCTGGATTTCCACTATTTTTCTGCGTTCAAATTCTGCGGCAGGACATAGTAACAGAAAACTGGCTTAAAAAGTATGCGCATGCATGTCCTTTATCAATACGTAATGTGCTTACGGTAGTACACATCAGGACACAGACCCAGGACCCAGGCAACTTTCCTGGAATGTGGCTCTACTAGAAGTAGCTTTCCTAGAATATGGCTTTTAGCCCACAAACTGCCTGCACTACCGAAGAAGAAGGAAAAGAAATAGGTGGTCTGTCTCTGCTCCCATTTTGTTTGTTTGTTACTCTTTTTTACACTCTAGGGTTGATATTGTCATAATTTTATTTTATTTTATTATTTTTTTTTTGAGACGGAGTTTTGCTCTTGTTGCCCAGGCTAGAGTGCAATGGCATGATCTTGGCTCACTGCAACCTCCACCTCCCAGGTTCAAGCGATTCTCCTGCCTCAGCCTCCCAAGTTGTTGGGATTACAAGTGCCCTCCACCACGCCCGGCTAATTTTTTGTATTTTTAGTTGAGATGGTGTTTCTCCATGTTGGCCAGGCTGGTCTCGAACTCCTGACCTCAGGTGATCCACCAGCCTCCACCTCCCAAAGTGCTGGGATAACAGGCGTGAGCCACCGCACCTGACCGATATTGTCATAATTTTAAATCTGATTTCTGATTTCACTAGGACAAAAACTCACAGGAGAGGCAAGGCTGATTTGGCTAGTCTTTCTACCCGTAAGAGTTCTGTGAAGCTTTTTTTTTTTTTTTTTTTGAGACAGAGTCTAACTCTTTCCACCAAGGCTGGAGTGCAGTGGTGTGAACATGGTTCACTGCAGCCTCAACCTTCCAGGCTTAAGTACTCCTCCCACCTCAGCCTCCCTGGGACCATAGGTATGTGGAACCACACATGGCTAAGTTGGTTTTTTTTGGTTTGTTTGTTTTGTTTGTTTTTCTATATTTTTTGGAGAGACAGGGGTTCACCATGTTGGCCAGTCTGGTCTTGAACTCCTGGGCTCAAGCGATCTTCCTGCCTTGGCCTCCCAAAGTGCTGGGATTACAGGTGTGAGCCACCACCTTGGTTTGTTTTTTAAGAGACAGTCTCACTCTGTCACCCAGGCTGGAGTGCAGTGACCTAATCATAGCTCACTGCAGCCTTGAATTCCTGGACCCAGTTATTTTTGTTTTCTTTTTGTAGAGATGGGTTTCTCTTTATGTTGCCACCAGACTGGTCTTGAACTCCTGGTGTCAAGCAATCCTCCTGCCTCAGCCTCCAAAAGTGCTGCGATTACAGGCATGAGCCACCATACCCAGTAAAATTCTTTACCTTGTGAGGTTTATGTGTTTATTTTGTGTTCAGACACTTTAGTCTTTGGAGAAAAAAACCCTGAAAAACAAAGAGTTGCATTAGCATTAGAATATGAGAAAAAGAAGGGTCACATTTAGAATATTGCAAGGCTATCAATTCACAGAAGGTATACCTGGCACATCCCTCTGAGTATTGGATGCCACTTGGTTTGAATCCTTTACTTACGGGATAAAACCGTAGGTGTTCTACCTAATCTCTATCAGTTACCTTATCAGTGACACAGGTGATGTTACAGTTGTTGGCTGCATCCCTACTGGAAAGCTGGAAGAATGGTCCATGCTGGTACATTATTCGTGGGTTAATCTAACTCTACAGCTGCACCATCCCAGGAAGCCTAAAAAATGTGAAGGTTTAGGAAATTGAAACGTTATTGACTTTTTACTCCTTGGCATCTTGTCATCTCTCAGTCCTGGCTCTTTTATTGTTGGTTTATAATCCATGGGCTCTGAATCTACCACAATAACTTTATGTTATCTATTACATATGGTATTATATAATAGCAAATATTATATTATATTACCAATATCGTGTGGTTGGCTGCATAGCATTTATTGCAAAATCATGATTTGGGCACATTTTACTCAAAATATGTTTGAATCAATTAATTTTTTTAAATCTATTTTTAAAGACAGGGTCTCTCTCTGCCACCCAGGTTGGAGTATAGTGGCATGATCATAGCTCACTGCATCCTTGAACTCTTGGGCTCAAGTGATTATCCCATCTCAGCCTCCCAAGTAGTTAGGACTACAAGCGTGCACCACCACACCTGGCTAATTTATTATTATTATGCTTTGTAAAGATGGAGTCTCACTGTGTTGCCCAGGCTGGTCTCCAGCTCCTGGGCTCAAGTGATTCTCCTGCCTCAGCCTCCCAAAGTGCTGGGATTATAGGCATGAGCCGCTGTGCCCACCTGAATCAATTTACTGATTTTGTTTTGTTTTGTTTTTGAGACCGAGTCTCACTCTGTTTCCAGACTGGGGTGCAGTGGCGTGATCTCGGCTCACTGCAACCTCCATCTCCTGGATTCAAGCTATTCTCGTGCCTCAGCCTCCTGAGTAGCTGGGACTACAGGCGTGAGTCACCGTGCCCAGGTAATTTTTGTATTTTTAGTAGAGATAGGGTTTCACCATGTTGGCCAGGCTGGTCTCGAACTCCTGACCTCAGGTGATCTGCCCTCCTCAGCCTCCCGAAGTGCTGGGATTACAGGCGTGAGCCACCGCACCCAGACTTTGAACTATTGTTCTAAAAAAAAATAGATTTTACCTTGACCAAAGAGTTTGGGACTAAATATTTTCCCCACTAGAAACATGTTGAAGTACTTATGTGGGAAAAGGGAACAGCACAGGAAATGTTGCTGAGCAAATCTCTTTACCCCCTCTTTTCAGACTGCAGTTTCACGGGGATTCCTACGCCTAAGTGCTAACACGTGTGCCTAGAAAAACAGAGGTGGCATGGATGTTAGAAGGCCGTGTGCAAGTGGATGGCATCCAATCCATAGAGTGCTTAGAGAACAGTGGAGAAAAGATGAAGGGACAAAGAGATTGTGAAGCCAGATATCCTAAGGCTGTTGAGAGAAGCTCAAGGGGGATTGGGAGTTGGAGACTTCATCCCTCATGTGGCTGAGCTGCAAGAGTAGCTCACTCCTTTCTTGATGACAGTTACTCCAAGTCAGATAATATTTTGCCTGGCCTCCGCTCAGTAAATTGAAAATGTGCAGCCATTTGAAACTACACCATGGCAGTGGCTCATACCTGTAATCCTAGCACTTTGGGAGGCTGAGGTGTGCAGATTGCTTGAGCCCAGGACTTTGAGACCAGACTGGGTTACATAGTGAAAACCCATCTCTACAAAAATAAAAAATAAAAAAAATTATCTGGATATGGTGGCCAATACCTATACTTCCAGCTACTTGGGAGGCTGAGGTGGGAGGATCATCCGAGCCCAGGAGATTGAGGCTGCAGTGAACTGAGATTGCTCCACTGTACTCCAGCTTGGGCTACAAAGTGAGACTCTGTCTCCAAAAACAAAACAAAACAAAAAACAAAAACAAAACAAAACAAAACAAAAGAACTACACCATGGGCCAGGCATGGTGGCTTGCACCTGTAATCTTAGCACTTTGAGAGGCCAAGGTGGGAGGATTGCTTTACGCCAAGAGTTCGAGACCTGCCTGGGCAGTATAGTGAGACCCCCCATCTCTAATAATAATAATAATAATAATAATAATAATAATAATAATAATAAAAATAATAAAAAGTTAAACTACTCTAGGTGCAGATTTTGGGGGCACAAGGATTTGCTGTGCACAAGCTGGGACATAGCTGCCTGTCCTGAAAACGGAGGGGTCTTGTCCACTTTCCCACCATACGCTGTGGTCATCCTTTTGACAGTCCACTCCATTGATGGAACAGATAAATCAGAAGGCCTGCTGGAAGGAAACCAATTGTTCAACTCTGCTTTTGCAAAAGAATTCAAGTCATTTAAGGTTAGCCTTAAAATAGAACACCCCAGTAATGTGATCAACATGGAACAAAAGCTTCAGGAGAGACAGGAGGTCAGAGAGAAAATGATACCTCTGGTCGGCAACCCTGCAGAGACTTCCAGGAATAAGCAGGTAGCAGGCTCAGAAATGCCACTGATATCTGATGTGCCAGCAGTTTCCAAAGACCCTGGATGTTCCTTGATTCTTTACTACTTTTTTGTGTCACCAAACACTGACTCTTACATAAGACAATTTCTGAACAGAAATTGAATATAATCTCATTAATTAGATAGGGGAGATGAATTGCAATGTAAACTTAGTGAAGAATTGGTACCTAGACAAAAGAAGGGAGTGTGAGCTCACCAAGGGTATCCACAGTCAAATTACTTTGTCTGTTGGGGTGGGCTGCTTAATTGGTGTTTTATTCTTTTGTTTATTATTGATGGTTGTGAACAGGGTCTCACTCTTTATCTTTTCTTCTTCCAAGACTTGTGTTAAATATATACTAGACCTTCTCACACTGTCTTCCAGGTCTTCTCTCATTCTGATCTGAATTTATTTTTATTAGTCTTACGTGTCTTTTATCCCCTAATTTACTCATAATGGATATTAAAAGTTGAAACAAGTTAAAGACATGTCCCATACTTCTAGAAATATGCTTAATGTAATCAAACATTGAATTTTCTCCTTGATTTTTAGGTATTCTACCCTTACAGCTACAAAAACACTTCTACTCTTAGAAAAGAAGAAGAATGCCGGGCGTGGTGGCTTACACCTGTAATCCCAGCAATTTGGGAGGCCAAGGCAGGAGGATGGTTTGAGCCCAGGAGTTCAAGACCAGGCTGGGCAACATACCTACTAAGACCTCATCTCTAAAAAATTGCATGGCATGAACCCAGGAGGCGGAGCTTGCAGTGAGCCGAGATCGTGCCATGGCACTCCAGCCTGGGCGACAGAGCAAGACTCCATCTCAAAAAAAAAATAAAAAATTACATGGCCGCGCACAGTGGCTCACACCTGTAATCCCAGCACTTTGGGAGTCCGAGGTGGGTGGATCACGAGGTCAGGAGATCGAGACCATCCTGGCCAACATGGTGAAACCCTGTCTCTACTAAAAATACAAAAATTAGCTGGGCATGGTGGCACGCACCTGTAATCCCAGCTACTTGGTAGGCTGAGGCAGGAGAATCACTTGAACCTGAGAGGCAGAGGTTGCAGTAAGCTAAGATCACGCCACTACACTCCAGCCTGGGCGACAGAGTGAGACTCCATCTCAAAAAATACATACATACATATATACATACATACATGCATGCATAAAATAACTTTGTTGTTGTAAATCTGAAATCCTCTAACCTCTAATCTTCATCATGACATTGAAACAATTGTCTCCCTTTATATTTTAATTCTGTTAAGATTCCATGTGACATTATTATTTTGTTTTTGTTTGTTTGAGATGGAGTTTCACTCTCTTGCCCAGGCTGGAGTGCAACAGTGCGTTCTGGGCTCATTGCAACCTCTGCCTCCCGGGTTCCAGCAATTCTTGTGCCTCAGACTCCCAGATAGCTGGAATTATAGGTACGTGCCACCATGCCCAGCTAATTTTTGTATTTTTAGTAAAGACGGAGTTTCACCATGTTGGCCAATCTGGTCTTGAACTCCTGACCTCAAGTGATCCTTCTGCCTTGGCATCCGAAAGTTCTGGGATTACAGGCATGAGCCACTGCACCCCGCCTATTTTTGTTTTGTATACTGAATGCTTATTTAAAATTACTCACATATATAGCAATTATTTGCTCTTTATTCCTTCTTGCACCTCTGATTTTCATTTTGGATCATTTTCATTCTCCCGAAATAATGCCTGTTAGATTTTCCTTTAATGCATGTTTGCTGGTGGTTGAAGTCTTCTTGTTCAGTTTGTCTAAAATGTTTTTATGTTGCCTTTTACCCCCAACTTGTACTTGTAATTGCCTTTGTTCTGGAAGGATACTTTTGTCGTCAGTAGGATTCTACATTGGCAGTTATTTTCTTTCAGCCAACTGAAGATATAATTCCATTCTCTTCTAGCTCCTGTAAATAAGTCTTTTGAAAGGAATCTCTTTTTCCTGTGAATACTTTAAAATTGTTCTCTTTGGTTTCTGAAGTGTCTTCATAACATATCTAGGCGTTAATTTAAAAAAATTTATACTCTTTGGGATTTGTTAGGCTTCATGAATCTGTGGGTTGATGTCCTTCATTAGTTCCAAGAATTCTTAGGTATATATTTTTTCAAATGTTGCTTCTGCCTCATTCTTTGTCTTTTCTTCTTCTAAGACTCGGGTTAAATATATACTAGACCTTCTTCCATTATCCTCTAGATCTCCTCTCAAGTCTTGTGTGCTTTATGTCTTTTTGTCTTTCCGCGCTATATCCTGGATAGTTTCTTCTGACCTATCTTCTACTTTATGAATTATCCTTTCAGTTGTATCAAATATGTTTATTCCATCTGCTATGGACTGAATTGTGCACCCCTATATTCATATGTTGAAGCCCTAACCCACAATATGACTGTGTTTGGAGACAGGTCCTATATAAGGAGGTAATTAAGATTAACTTCAGTTATAAGGGTGGGTACCTGTTCTGATAGGATTCATGCACTTAAAGCAGAGACACCAGAAAGCTCACTTTCTCTCTCTCTGCCATGCAGAGAGAAGGTGGCTATTTGCAGCCTCATTAGAAACCCTAGCAGAACCTTGATCTTGGACTTTCCAGCCTCTAGAATGGAGTCTCCCTCAGAATTATTGTCTGATAAAATAATTTATGTTTTTAAACCACACAATCAGCTGGGTGCAGTGGCTCATGCCTGTAATCCCAGCACTTTGGGAGGCCAAGGTGAATGGATCACTTGAGTCCAGTAATTTGACACCAGCCTGGACAATATAGCAAAACCTCATCTCTACAAGAAATGACAACAACAACAACAAAATTAGCCGGGAGTGGTGGCACACACCTGTAATACCAGCCACTTGGGAGGCTGAGGCACAAGAATCATTTGAACCTAGGAGGCAGAGGTTGCAGTGAGACACGATCAGGCCACTGCACTCCAGTCTGGGTGACAGAGTGAGACTCAAAAGAAAAAGTAAAATGTTTTTTAAAAATGAAAGAATAGGCATTTAAACTTTTACCCGGGAAATTTCTTTTTCTTTCTTTTTTTCTTTTTCTTTTTCTTTTTTTTTTTTTTTTTTTTTTTTTTTTTTTTTTTTTGAGGCAGGGTCTTGCTCTGCCCCGAGGTTGGAGTGCAGTGATGTGATTATGGCTCCCTGCAGCCTCAACTTCCCAGCCTCAAGTCATCTTCCCACCTCAGCTCCTGAGTAGCTGGAACTACAGGCACATACCACATGCCCAGCTAACTTTTTTATTTTTTGTATAGATGGGTCTTACTATATTGCCCAGGCTGGTCTCGAGTTCTTTGGCCGCAAGAGATCCTCCCACCTCAGCCTCCCAAGGTACTGAGATTACAGGTGTGAGCCACTGTGCCTGGCCAGAACTCTCACTATACAGTCCTATCCATTTACAGCCCTTTGCCTACATGTCCTTAGATCTGTGTTTCCCAGATTTTCCCATAAATTCCCTGCAACCTTCCTTTTGACCTTGAGTGCTCTACACAGTCATCCCATTTCTAGTTCATCTATAGGAATAGTGGAGTTGACAGCAAATAATGTTTTTCAACTGCTTGAATATTAGAGTCCTTCTCCCTTGTACAGCAATATATGTCTATGATGAAGCTTAGTAAAATAGCTGTAGAACGAATTCGGAGATAAAATTACAGGAACTCTATAACAGCACATGTGGCTTTTCTCTGTCTCTGAATCTACCTCTTCTGGAAATGAACAGGAGTAACTTAGGTGAGCTCACAAACATAGCTACTACCATGCAGTATGTACCCTTACACCACCCCTGCCCCCACTCCCACTGTAGTTTCCTGGGCTTTAGTCTGTTCTAAGTTCTTTGATGCTTGTGAAGCTACTTCTGCTGACTTTGTTGACACTGACATTGTTACCATGGTTACCAGGGAAGTCAGACAATATACTGAAGGGGAGTTGCTTCCTGCCCTAACCAGGACAAAGACACTATAACCTTTGAGGTTGCTGGTGTATCCGTGTCCTCAGTGAAGAATTCATGTATGAGCTGAGGTTGCCAAAGAAGCAGGGAAGCTTTCTTCCCCCTCCTTTGCCTCACACTCTGTTACACTGAGTTAGAAGACATTTACCTGTGAAAACCACAATGACACACTGTTCTACCTAAGAGGCTGGCAAGATCAAAATGACTGATAAACTGTATCAGAAAGGGCGTGGAAAAACAGATATTGTTGGTGGAATGTAAATGGACATAATCTCTTTAGGAGAACAATTTGGGCATCCATACCGTTTGATGGAGCAACTTTATCCCTAATTTATAGCGCAACGTGTGCAAAACAAGCACATGGATAGAATAGTCAATGTGGCAGCATCTGTAAGTCGAAGATTAGAAACAATGGGACAGCACACTCAGTGTGGCCTTTCCATGTGCCATTGGCTCCACTCCCAGTTCACCTGCAGCCAGGGAGGAAGGTTCTGTATGTGCTGACAAGGCTCCCCACCTCAAGCCACCTGCAGCACCCTCAAGGGAAATCTTCAACCAGTGATAATGAAAGATGACGCATGTCTTAGTCTACTCAGGCTGCCATAACAAAATACTAAACACTATGTGGCTTAAACAACACAATTTTATTTGCTCACAGTTCTTGATTCTAGAAGTCCAAGATCAAGATTCTGGCTGATCTGGTTTCTGATGAAGGCTTTCTTCCTGGCTTGCAGGAAAGGCCATGTGAGGAGGTCTTAGTGAGAAGGCCTTAGTGCATGCACATGGGAAGAGAGAGCAAGCTGTCCAGTGTCTTTTCTCATAAGGGCACTAATCCTATCAGATCAGGGCCCCACCCTTATGATCTCAGATAACCTTATGCTTGACCCTTGAACAACACAGGGGCTAGGGACATCAACCCCTCACACAGTTGAAAACTCACATATAACTTTTGATTCCTCAAAAACTTAACTACCTCAAGGAATTAGGACATGGAAAAATAAAACTAACTACTAATAGACCATTGTTTGTTGACCAGAAGCCTTATAGATGGCCTTACAGATAACATAAACAGTTGGTGTGTGTTATATGTATTATATACTGTATTCTTACAATAAAGTAAGCTAGATAAAGAAAACCATAAAGAAGAGAAAGTATATTTACTATTCATTAAGTGGAAGCAGATCATCATAAAGGTCTTCATTCTTGTCTGAGTGTTGAGTAGGCTGAGGAGGTGGAGGAGGAAGAGGAGGGATTGGTCTTGCTGTCTCAGGGGTTGCGGAGGTGAAGGAGGTAGAAGGGGAAGCAGGAGAGGCACACATGGTGTTAATTTTTATTGGAAACATTCCACATATAACGGGACCCAAGTAATTCAAACCAGTGTTGTTCAAGGGCCAACTGTAATTACAAAAGGTCTAATCTCTAAATATTAATACATCCTCACTGGGGTTTAGGTTCCTAATATATACATTTAGTTGGGGGATACATAGACATTCAGTTTATAACTGCATGTAAATACCACAGCTTTCCAGTCTTTTGGTGTGATGTTTCTGAGGCTTCTTCTACCCATTCTCTCAGAGGGGCCCCATTGAGCTAGGGCTGTCCTAAGTGGGGACTTATTTATTAATCTACCCTTTTGTGAGTCTCCTCCCTTCCCTCTCACTGGGCTTCCTGGGATCTCCTTCCAAATAAATGACCTGTACCCAAGTCCTTGTCTAAGGGTCTTTTTTTTTTGGGAGAATGGGACAAATGTTTCAAATCACCAGTCATTTGAATCTAAAGTTATTCCTACAAGAGCTGCTATGGTCTGAATGTTTGTGTTGCTCCCTGCTCTCCCAGTTTCCGTGTTGAAATTGAATCACCAATATGATGCTATTAGGAAGTAGAGCATTTGGGAGGTGAGTAGATCATGAGAGTAGAACCCTCATGAATAGGATTAGATCTTTTATTTTTATTTTTATTTTCAGACAGGGTCTCACACTGCCACCCAGCAGGCTGGAGCACACTGGCGTGATCTCAGCTCACTGCAACTTCCGCCTCCTGGGCTCAAGCAATCCTCCTGCTTCAGCCTCTTGAGTAGCTGGGTCTACAGGTACACACACCACACCCAGCTAATTTTTGTATTTTTTGTCGAGACAGGGTTTTGCCATGTTGCCCAGGCTGGTCTCAAGCTCCTGAGCTCAAGCAAATCTGCCTGCCTCAGTCTCCCAAAGTGCTGAGATTACAGGCGTGAGCCACCGCGCCTAGCCTGGATCTCTTATAAAAGAGATCTCAGAGAGTTAGCACATCTGTTCCACCATGTGAGGACACAGCTATAAGGTGCCATCTATGAATCAGGGCCTCACCAGACACTGAATCTGCCAGCACCTTGATCTTGGACTTCACAGCCTCTGGAGCTTTGAAAAATAAATATCTGTAGTTTATAAGCTACCCAGATTATTATATGTTGTTATAGCAGCCTAAGCAGACTAAGAAGGTATTCAGTCCTGCAGGTTGTCCCATATTCCTAGTACTGTGGTTGAAATTGTTATATATTGGTTCCTGTCAAACGCCAGCTCATACAGCAGCGTGGGAGAGACTGGAATTGAAGAGACTCTGGAAATTGGTCTGCCCTGAACAGGGAATGAGGCAGGAAACAGGAAGACAGACCCAGTGGCAAGTACCAAGAGCCCAGTCTAGAGGAAAGAAGACCATATCCACCGGGCACATCGGGGCAAAAGCAGGGCTCCCGTCTCCCACCAAACCTAGAAGGTCCTCATAGATGAGTGGAACATCCATCTACTCTTGAAGAAACGAGGCAGAATTTGAAACTTTGAAACACATTCTAACAAATTGTGATTGAAAAGTTAGATTTAGAGAATTACAACCATATCTGTTCTGACTTTTTTTTTTTTTTTTTTTTTTTTTGAGACGGAGTCTCGCTCTGTCACCCAGGCTGGAGTGCAGTGGCGCGATCTCGACTCACTGCAAGCTCCGCCTCCCAGGTTCACGCCATTCTCCTGGCTCAGCCTCCTGAGTAGCTGGGATTACAGGTGCCCGCCACCACGCCCAGCTAATTTTTTGTATTTTTAGTAGAGACGGGGTTTCACCATGTTAGCCAGGGTGGTCTTGATCTCCTGACCTCGTGATCCACCCACCTTGGCCCCGCAAAGTGCTGAGATTACAGGCGTGAACCACCGCACCTGGCCTAACATTTTAGTTTTCTTATTCTTTTTTTTTATTTTTATTTTTTGAGACAGAGTCTTGTTCTGTTGTCCAGGCTGGAGTTCAGTGGCAAGATCTCTGGTCACTACAAACTCTGCCTCCCGGGTTCTTGTGCCTCAGCCTCCTAAGTAGCTGGGACTACAGGCATGCACCACTATGTCTGGATAATTTTTTGTATTTTTAGTAGGAATGGGGTTTCACAATATTGCCCAGACTGGTCTCGAACCTCTGAGCTCAGGCAATCTGACCACCTCGGCCTCCCAAAATGCTAGGAGTGCGGGCGTGAGCCACCGTGCCCCGCCAGTGTATCATTTTGTGCCTATCTTTTTCCACTCACCATGCTAGTGAGGTTCATCTGTGTTGTGTGTATACTGACCATATATTAAGTAGCCTACTTACAGAGAATACAAAGTTGGTAATAAAGGCAAACATTGAAAATTGTGTTTTTCATCTTCTCACATATGAAAGAAAAAAGATATAAGTAATCCAAATAGGATATATCTCACTCTATCTCCCAGGCTGGAGTGCAGGGCAAGATCTCAGCTCACTGCAGCCTCAACCTCCTGGACTCAAGCTAACCTCCCACCTCAGCACCCCTCTCCCCAGAGAAGCTGCGACTATACGCACACACCACCATGCCCAGCTAATTTTTGTAGAGACAGGGTTTTGCCATGTTGCCCAGGCTGTTCTGGAACTCCTGGGCTCAAGTGATCCCCCACCTTGGCCTCCCAAAGTGCTGGGATTACAGGCATGAGCCATCACACCTGGCACTCCAGCCTGGGCAGCAAGAGCGAAAATCTGTCTCAAAAAAAAAAAAATTGACATAAAGATACTGAATTTAGATCTCCTTTTTGTTTTTCTTTGAATGCTCTGAACATCTTACCAAAAGGACAGAGAAAGCATCTGATGATGTCTGGAATCTATATGAGCACACATTTGAAAGTGACTGTAATAACATTACATCAAATATATACTGCAAAGAGAGGCTAAGAGAGCAGGAGCCAGGCACATAGCCACATTTGGCAAAGCTGCAGCAGATTTTGTGCCAGTGGGCAGGTGCCCAGAATTCAGAGCTGGGCAGAAGGTCAGGAAAGGATGGGTCATTCAAGTCCAACATGTCACAACTCAGCAGGCAATGGATCCTGGGGCTTACTGCCTAGGTAGCATGAAGCACTTGGGAAGAGTGCTTGTTTAATCCTGGGGCTCAGACTGGTGAGATATGGTAGTGGGTGGCATGGGAGGGAAGGGACATGGACTATATGGTCCACCTCAGAATGGACTAACACCATAGACTACCCATCGTCCAAAAGACTGTGGTGCACTCAGCTTGCTCCAAGTTGCTCTTGGTATCTAAGATGAGCAAATACAATGGATGAGACAAGGCAGCAGGTATTTACAGATTACAGGTCTTCACAGATTGCAGGTCTTTCTTGAAGTAAAGCAGATGGCAGTCTTGTGAGTTGCAGTGTTTTTCCCAGCAGGAAACTGATGTCACATGCAAATAGGGTAATTAGGAGAATTTCATAGACTGTTTACAAAGGTGAGGGTCAGGCAAGGGAAACCAAAATGAATGGTTCAGTGAAAGGAGGCTACCAAGAGGGGGAAGCCCTTTATATCCCTAGGTCTGAAGGGACAAGGGGCAGTAGTAGTTATAGTTAAAGAGACCAGGAACCTTACGCTAGAAGCAACCTTCTGCTAGAAGCTCAGGCCATCAGCAGGAGGATGAAGCCAACCTACACAGCAATCTACAGGGAGGAATCCAGGAACATCAATTCTCCAGCCTTATTTACCTCCCGTCGGTACCCTCCTTGGCTGAATCCAAAGGGAAGGCAGAGGGAAGTAGCCCACTGAAGTCATTCACAAAGGTCAGCCTTCCAGGATGCAGAACAGAATGGAGAAAGGTCGAGATTGGATCTGAAGGGGCAATTGCAAGATACCCAATACACCATATCGTCTGCACATCCAATTCAGGACAACAGTCTGAGGCTGGTGTGGGAGGAGGACACTGGGGACCCCTGAAGGAAGTGGCCAGTGAAGATGAGTCATGGGCATCCGGTTCTGGCTGTCATCCCACTGTAGAACTAGCAGTATCTGCTGGAAACCAGAAGCAACCAATAGATAAAGCAGCAAGGCTAGGGCAAGGTATGACTCAGTGGACAACACAGTCAATTTCACGTCAGATTCATTCATTCATTTAGTCGTTCATTCTGGGCTTCTCAAACTCAGCACTATTGACATTTTGAGCCAGGTAATTCTTTGTTTTGTCTGGCACTTGGTTTGATATCAGCTGGGGTGACAGAATGACTTAGTCACTTGCCACTCATCATCCAGCAGGGTAGCCTGGGCTTGTTCACGTGATGGCAGAAGAGCTTCCAGCAACAAGAGGCTAAGCCTCAATGCACAAGTGTTTTTCAAGCCTCTGTTTGCATCTCATTTGCTAATGTCCTGTTGGACAAAGCAAGTTACTTAGCCAAGCCTAGATTCAAAACACCAAAAAAATTTGACTCTATTTCTGGATGGAAGAAGCTGCAATATATTGTGGGCTTCCTCCCAAACTAACTCATTGTGTGGTGAGGGTGGTGGTAAAGCAATGGTGGAGATGTTCAAGAGAAGTGCCACAGACAAGCCACCTAATGTTGACAATATAAATGAACTGAATCTACCCTATAATTATCTTAGACTTCCCACTTGGCGTTAGCAATAAGTGCATAACCACCAAAGACGGTGGTATATAAAGTTATAAATAGAGATATCATGGAATGGTAGAATGCATTTAAGTGACCAGTTAAGCCCATCCAGCTTACCAGTTTGCAGTTCTTGAGAAGATTATCCGCCCTTTACATATTTCTGGTATGAGCATTATCCCAGGTTTTATCTCAGAAGCTTGGCAGCTTCTGAAAACCGACTGTTTCACTGGAAAATGTTGTGCAAACTAGATCCAGCAGGGTCTGCATGCCAACAGTGAACATATCCTTTCCAAGAAGGGGCTCTCCAAAACAATACGTCCTAATGTTCTGTAGGTCAAAATTAAGTACAAAAGGCTATAAATCATTGCTTCTAACTAGCAATTAGCAGATAGGTGAGCCTAGGACAAGGACAAAATGCACCATCAATTTGGCCTGTTAGAATTTTTGTTTTGGAGTGATATTTTTAAGAAAGAGAAATATAAACTTAAAAAAAAACCTTTTTAGGCCAGGCGTGGTGGCTTACACCTGTAATCCCAGCACTTTGGGAGGTCGAGGAAGGCGGATCGTGAGGTTAAGAGATGGAGACCATCCTGGCCAACATGGTGAAACCCCATCTCTACTAAAAATACAAAAATTAGCTGGGCTGGTGGCACACACCTGTAGTCCCAGCTACTTGGGAGGCTTAGGCAGGAGAATCGCTTGAACCCGGGAGGCGGAGGTTGCAGGGAGCCAAGATCATGCCATTGCACTCTAGCCTGGTGACAGAGCGAGACTCTGTCTAAAAACAAACAAACAAACAAAAACAACTTTTTTTGAGAAAGGGTCTTGCTCTGTCGCCCAGTCTGTAGTACAGTGGCACAATCACTGCTCACTGTAGCCTCAACCTCCTGGGCTCAGGTGATCCTCACACCTCAGCCTCCCAAGTAGCTGGGACTAGAGGTGCTGGCTAACTAAAACAATTTTTTTTCTTTTTTTTGTAGAGACAGAGTTGGGGGTTCAGCGGCAGGGGAGCTCACTATGTTGTCCAGGCTACTTTCAAACTTATAAGGTTGGCTGAACAGGGTGGCTCACGCCTGTAATCCCAGTTTTTTGGGAGGCCAAGGCAGGCAGATCACCTGAGGTCAGGAGTTCAAGACCAGCCTGGCCAAAATGGTGAAACCCCATCTCTACTAAAAATACAAAAAATTAGGTGTGGTAGTGCACGCATGTAATCCCAACTCCTAACTAGGGAGGCTGAGGCAGGAGAATCACTTGAACCCAGGAGGAGGAAGTTACAGTGAGCTGAGAATGCGCCACTGCACTCCAGCCTGGGCAACAGAGCGAGACTGTCAAAAACAAAAACAAAAACGAAAAAACAAAAAACAACCCAAAAAACAAAAAGACAAAAACAACTCATGGGGTCAAGTGATCCTTTCTTCTTGGCTTTCCCAAGGTGCTGCAATCACATTCCCAAGATGTGAGCCAGTGCGCCAGCTAATTCTCGATAGTGACATGGTGTTAATTGCTAAGAGCATGGACTCTGAAGCCAGAGTTCATGGTTCAAATCCCAATTTTCCCACTCACTGTGACCTTGGACAAGTCACCTAATCTACCTGTGCCTGAGTTTCCTTGTCTTTAAAATCAGGATGTAATAATAGTATCTACTCCTAATGATTGTTGCAAGGACTAAATGAGTTAATATTTCTAAAGTTCTGACCAGGCGGAGTGGCTCATGCCTGTAATCCCAACACTTTGGGAGGCCAAAGCAGGAGGATTGATTGAGCTCAGGAGTTCAAGACCAGCCTGGGTAACATGGAGAAACCCCGTCTTTACCAAAAATACAAAAAAATTATCTGGGCATAGTGGGGCTGCGCACCTATAGTCCCAGCTACTTGGGAGGCTGAAGTGGGAGGATGGCTTGAGGCTGGGAGGCAGAGGCTACAGTGAGCTGAGTTGGCACTACTGCACTCCAGCCTGGGTGGCAGAGTGAGACTCTGTCTCAAAAACTAACTAACTACATAAATATTTCTAAAGTTCTGATCTCTACTTAAGATAGAATCAATTAGACAAAATTTGAAGCATTCTTTTTTTTTTTTTTGAGATGGAGTCTCGATCTGTCACCCAGACTGGAGTGCAGTGGTGCGATCTCGGCTCATTGCAACCTCTGTCTCCTGGGTTCAAGCAATTCTCCTACCTCAGCCTCCCGAGTAGCTGGGATTACAGGCACCTGCCACCACACCCGGCTAATTTTTCCATTTTTAGTAGAGACAGGGTTTTACCACCTTGGCCAGGCCGGTCTTGAACTCCTGACCTCAGGCGGTCGGCCTGCCTTGGCCTCCCAGAGTGCTGGGCTTACAGGTGTGAGCCACTGCAGCCGGCCTTGAAGCATCCAGTGGTATCAGTGCGTCAGGAGGGTGATTATGTACGCCACTAGACTTCAAAGGCCATCACCTTTTCTTGATTAACAGCAGCACCTCAGGGAGAGGCAGTTGCAAAACCGTATTCAGCCTGTTTGTAGCAAACCCCTGCATCCTGTGGAAGGCTGGTGGGGAGGAGGTGGGCAGTATAATACCGCAACTTAGAAAATGTCAGAGAATTTCAACTATCCGTGCTTTCTCAATCTGCTATTTCCACAGGTTGGTTTTTTAAGTGAAGTCAAGTGTTAATAAAATGTGAAAATCACAGTGTGTAGCCATCAGCACACTTGTAAGCTAGTCTTGGCTTTCTTGAACTACCTATCAGAAAAAGCAGTAACATTCAAAAGAATAAGTAGCTGCCATTTCAAAGAATAAGTACTTGTCAGGAGAGCAAAAGGCTTTTTGGAAAAAAATAAAGATAATAGTTTTAAATTTTAAAAAAGAGGCCGGGCAAGGTGGTTCACGACTGTAATCCCAGCACTTTGGGAGGGCCGAGGCAGGTGGATCACGAGGTCAGGAGTTCAAGACCAGCCTGGCCAAGATGGTGAAACCCCGTCTCTACTTAAAATACAAAAATTAGCTGGGCGAGGTGGTGGGCACTTGTAATCCCAGCTACTCGGGAGGCTGAGGCAGAGAATTGCTTGAACCCAGGAGGCAGAGATTGCAGTGAGCTGAGATCACGCCACTGCACTCCAGCCTGGGTGACAGAGTGAGACTCTGTCTCAAAAAAAAAAAAAAAAGAAAAAGAAAAATTTTAAAAAACTAAATTAAATTTTAAAAAGAAAGAATAAGGTACTTGATATACACAAATATTCAAGGGGCGTTATTCACCTATTTAAGGTGAATTCAGGCAGGTACATTGGCTCATGCCAGTAATCTAACACTTTGGAAGGCCAAGGCAGGAGGATTGCTTGAGCCTCGGAGTTTGAGACCAGCCTGGGCAACATAGTGAGACCTTGTCTCTACTAAAACTCAAAATAATCAGCCAGATGTAAGGGTGTGCCCCTGTAGTCCCAGCTACTCAGGAGGCTGAGGCAGGAGAATCCCTTGAGCTTGGGAGGTCAAGGCTGCAGTGAGCCATGATCACACCACTGCACTCCAGCCTGGGCAAGAGAGCAAGGCACTGTCTCAAAAAAAAAAAAAAAAAAAAAGCTAATTCTCTATTTTGCATTATTTAAAAGAATTTCAAAGAACACAGGGTAACATTAAATGCCTAGGCAGAAAAATAAGCAAATTTCTTTTTTCTTTTTTTTTTTGAGACAGAGTCTCGCTCTGTCACCTAGGCTGGAGTGCCGTGGCGCAATCTCGGCTCACTACAATCTCCACCTCCCAAGTTCAAACAGTTCTCCTGCCTCAGCCTCCTAAGTAGCTGGGATTACAGGCATGCACCACCAAGCCCAGCTAATTTTTGTATTTGTAGTAAAGACGGGGTTTCACCATGTTGGTCAGGCTGGTCGCAAACTCCTGACCTTGTGATCTGCCTGCCTCGGCCTCCCAAAGTGCTGGGATTACAGGTGTGGGCCACCGCACCTGGCCAGAAATGAGCAAATTTCTTAGTGTCAGTATCAGGCCACTTAATTAAATCACACAACACTTTGTTTAGATTGATTGAATCAATTGTCTACCGTACCCAAAATTCTCATCTTATCCATCATCTCTTCTTATTGTCCCTCCGGTCCACAGAGCCAATACAAATATTTGTTGAATGAAAGAGTGGTTTCCTTCTTGTAACATATTTCACAATGCACTCTATCAGGAAATAATTACTTCCTGAAGTCTGAGTCAACAGATAATTTTGAAGACTGGGCAGAGAGTTGTAGGATTTAAACTGGCAAAATAGATCAGAAAATTATCTCAGAAAATAACTCCATTCCAACAAATGTATAATCATTAATATTCTAAGGATGGAGAAACCTCAGAAAAGTAAAAGACTATTTTTCTACCAATTGGGCATCATTTGCAACTTCATTCTCAAGCTTTGGCATCTGATTCTGTCCCATCCTACTGTCACCTCCTGTCTTCACCAAAAGGGTTTCCTTCTTGATTTATTGCCTCACTGACCACATTTTAAAAAATTAAGAAAAATACTAAGCTTATTATTTTAAATGGGATTTGTTTCCAGGTTCTATTTGGTTTCACTAAACCTCTAGTGCACTGAACTCTGGCCACATCAATTGCTGGGAAAAGATGAAGTGGGCTGGGCGCAGTGGCTCATGCTTGTAATCCCAGTACTTTGGGAAGCTGAGGCAGGTGGATCACCTGAGGTCAAGAGTTCGAGACTAGTCTGGCCAACATGGTGAAACCCCGTTTCTACTAAAAATATGAAAATTAGCTGAGCATGGTGGTGGACACCTGTAATCTCAGCTACTCCAGAGGCTGAGGCTGGAGAATCGCTTGAACCCGGGAGGTGGAAGTTGCAGTGAGCCGAGATCGTACCACTTTACTCTAGCCTGGGTGAAAAAGCGAGATTCTTTCTCAAAAAAAAAAAAAAAAAAAAAAAAAAGATGAGATGAATTGTCTTGGAGGAAGAAAGAAAGAAGGAAAGGCCAGCTTTGAATTTCTGAATTAGATTAATGGGGTTGAGACTTTTTTTTTTTTTTAATTTTAACAAACAAGCTTGGGCTGGGTGGGATGGCTCATGCCTGTAATCCCAGCACTTTGGGAGGCCAAGGCAGGAGACTGCTTAAGTCCAGGAGTTCAAGACCAGCCTAGGCAACATGGTGAAAGCCTGTCTCTACAAAAAACACAAAAATTAGCTGGGCATGATCGTGTGTACCTGTAGTCCCAGCTACTCGGAGGCTGAAGTGAGAGGATCACTTGAGCCCAGGAGGTCAAGGCTGGAGTGAGCCAAGATCATGCCACTGCATACCACTGTCTGGGTGACAGAGTGAGACTTTGTCTCAATTAAAAAAAAATTAATAAAATAAAGATTAGAAACAAGTTGGAAGCTGGGCATGGTGGTATGCACCTATAGTCCCAGCTACTTGGGAGGCTGAATGGGGAGGATCGTTTAAGACTAGGAGTTCTTAGCCAGCCTGGGCAATTTGAGATCCTGTCTCTAAAAAACATAAAGATTTTTTCCTTTTTTTTAGACAGAGTTTTGCTCTTGTTGCCCAGGCTGGAGTGCAATGGCAGGATCTTGGCTTGCTACAACCTCCACCTCCCAGGTTCAAGCTATTCTCCTGCCTCAGCCTGCCGAGTAGCTGGGATTACAGGCGCCTGCCACCACACCCGGCTAATTTTTGTATTTTTAGTAGAGACAGAGTTTCACCATGTTGGCCAGGCTGGTCTTGAACTCCTGACCTCAGGTGAGGTCCACTCACCTTGGCCTTCCAAAGTGCTGGGATTACAGGCATGAGCCACCGTGCCCAGCTGATTTTTTTAAAGGAAAGAAAAGAAACAAGGTGGGGGAAAAATGTGGTAAGTTGCAGACATCTTGCTATGGTTATTGTGTTTGCAGATAAGAATACCCACTATCAGCCGGGTACAATGGCTCACGCCTGTAATCTCAGCACTTTGGGAGGCCAAGGTGGGCAGATCACGAGGTCAAGAGATCGAGACCATCCTGGCTAACATGGTGAAACCCCGTCTCTACTAAAAATACAAAAATTAGCTAGGCATGGTGGTGTGTGCCTGTAGTCCCAGCTACTTGGGAGGCTGAGGCAGGAGCATCGCTTGAACCCGGGAGGCAGAGGTTGCAGTGAGCCGAGATCATGCCACTGCACTCCACACTCCAGCCTGGCGACAGAGCAAGATTCCATCTCCAAAAATAAAAATAAAAAAAAAGAATGCCCACTATCTTTCAACATTTGTACGTACCTGAGTATTCTCATTACTATCCCTGCAGCACAAATGACTCCAAGCTTAATAGTATAAAACAGCAACCATTTTATCATGACTATGTATCTTATGGGTCAGGTCAGGAATTCAGAAAGAGCAAATCCAGGACAACTCGTCTGGACTCCACAATGCCTGGGGCCTCATTGGAAAGACTCAATCAGCAAGGAGTGACTTTGCAGGTTCTGGCTAAAATAATCTGAATGTTTGCTCACTCGCATGTTTGGCAGGGCATGGCTGAGAACTCAGCTGAGCTGTTGGCTGGGACACCAACACATGGCCTCCAGAGTGCTGCTTGGGCTTCCTCACAGCAAGGCGGCCATGTTCTAACAGTGAGTATCCCATGAGAACCTGGGGGAAGCTATACTCTTATCATCTAGCCTTGGAAGTCACGTGATATCATTTCCACCACAATCACAAACCCACCCAGATTCAAGGGGAGGGAACATAGGTCACACCTCAATGAGAGGAGTGTCAGTTGAATTATAAGAAAAGGGGAAAGGCAGATATTATTGTGGCCATCTCTGGAAAATACAAGGCGCCACACTGGGCATAAAAGACTTTTTAATGTTTCTCAGGTAGTAGAGAGGATAAAAATGACCCTAGCCTTTGAATCTGTTTGCATAGTTTGAAGAAAATTAATTACTATTCCTTTCTCTTCAGACGGGTAAAGGGGAAAGATAATCCTTTGTTTGTTAACATAGAGCCAAGATAGAGAAAGTGAGAAGTATTGGTAAACATACATACTTTGATAATAATGGATCCTCCTTGAAACTCAATAATATATTCAATCTAAGCAAAGCAGCCTAGGGAAGAAGCTTAAGAAAAGCGAATTTGGCAAAGCCAAGTGTCAATGAAGCAGGAAGTCTCTCTGCAGAATCAGCCCCAAACGAATAAGAGAATTACTGGGTTTAATGTAGTACTAATGCCTAACATCCTTTTTTCTCCCCCAGAACCAAATTTTCTGTTTGGAAGTCTTAGTACAACCACACTTTGTAACTAGCCCAAGCAGATATCTCTGCCCCAGTTTCTCCTCCTCTCTCTTCTCCTGCTTTCTCCAGCACCCAACTCTATCCAGACCCAAGGTCGATCTCAACTCCAAAAGGGTGAGTACCTCTGATGAATGGCTAAAACAGAGTGCTTTTCCACCCCACTGCATTTCCTAGAAATTTCTGCTATAAGAGGTTCCTACCATCACCTGAAAATGTATAGTATGATATAGCCCTTCCTTCTCAATTAGTTTTGGGTGTTCATAAATTACAGTACCAAAGGAATGCTCCTAATTACAATGTGATAGGTAGAATTATGGTCTTCCAAAGATATCCACATCCTAATCCCTGGGACCTGTGAATATGTTACTTTACAGGGCAAAAGAGACTTTGCAGAGGTGTTAAGTGAGTGAGAGATGGGGAGATTCTCCTAGATTTGCTGAGTGGGATCAACGTAATCACAAAGGTCCTTATAAGAGGGAGATAGGAGGGCCAGAGTCTCAGAAGAAGATGTAATAAATAAAGCAGAACTTGGGGGGTTCAGGTGCAGAGTGAGAGAGGGAGAGAGGAACAGAGACAGAGGGAAAGAAGAGAAAAGAAAGAGAGAGACTTGAAAATACACCACTGTCTTTGATGCTAAAGGAAAGAGCACAAGCCAAGGAGTGCAGACAGCCTCCTTTTTTTAATTAATTAATTCATTAATTACTTTTTTTTTTTTTTTTGAGGAGTTTCGCTCTTGTTGCCCAGGTTGGAGTGCAATGGCATGATCTTGGCTCACCGCAACCTCTGCCTCCCAGGTTCAAGCAATTCTCCTGCCTGGGACTACAGGTGTGTGCCACCACGCCCAGCTAATTTTGTATTTATAGTAGAGACGGGGTTTCTCCATGTTGGTCAGGCTGGTCTTGAACTCCCAACCTCAGGTGACCCACCCGCCTTGGCCTCCCAAAGTGCTGGGATTATAGCCCTCCTCGGCCTCCCAAAGTGCTGGGATTATAGGTGTGAGGCACCGTGCCCAGCTTTTTTTTTTTTTTTTTAGACAGGGTCTCACTTGTCACCCAGACTGAAGTTCAATGGTGCAATCTCAGCTCACTGCAGCCTCTACCTCCTGGACTCAAGGGATCCTCCTGTCTCAGCCTCTTAAGTAGCTGGCACCTGGTGCACCCCACCACACTCAACTAATTTTTTTTATTTGTAAGGATGAGGTCTCACTATGCTGCCCAGGCTGGTCTTGAACTCCTGGGCTTAAGCAATCCTCCCACCTCGGCCTCCCAAAGTGCTGGGATTACAGGAGTGAGCCACTGCACCCAGCTGCAGGTAGCCTCTTGAAGCTGGAATAGGCAAGGAAACATTCTTCTCTGGAGTCTCCAGAAGGAATTCAGCCCTGCTGACCCAACAAACTGTGTTGTTTTAAGCCACTAAGTTTCTGGTAATTTTTTATAGCAGTAATAGGAAACTAATGCAAATAGCTTTTTTTGGTGGTTGTTTGTTTTAGATATTGCATGAGGTTTATTGTGAAAGCTGGGAAGAATTAATTTCTACAAGTCTTTATGAACTGAGACTGGATCAATGTGATGGGGGTTTAAATGAAGTCCTGGGCAGTGCCTTCTGGAAGCAATACATGAAGAGATGAAGAACAAAATCCAAGATCACTGTCCTAAAATAAACTTTCCTTCTGCTTAGGGGCATAATGACTCACATAGGGTATAACATAAACATCGCATCTGACACTTGAACTGCTTAAGTTTGTTATTGCAGGCCTGGATCATATTTATATAAATCTGAATACGCTTTCAATTTGGCCAGGAATTTGTTAACACTTTTTTTTGAGATGAGGTCTTGCTGTTACCCAGGCTGGAATGCAGTGGCACCATCTTGGCTCACTGCAACCTCCACCTCCTGGGTTCAAGTGATCCTCTCACCACAGCCTCCCAAGTAGCTGGAACTACAGGTATGCACCACCACACCTGGCTAATTTTTTTGTATTTTTTTGTAGAGACGGGTTTTCACCATGTTGTCCAGGCTGGTCTCGAACTCCTGAGCTCAAGCAATCCTCCTGCCTCGCCCTCCCAAAGTTCTGGGATTACAGGTGTGAGCCACCATGCCCAGCAACACACCCCCACTTGTTGTTTTTGAGACAGTGTCGCTCTGTTGCCCAGGCTGGAGTGCAGTGGTGCAATCTCAGCTCACTCACTTGAGTCAGCTCACTTGATCAATCTCATCCTCGACCTTGCAGGCTTAAGTGATCCTCCCCCTCCAGCCTCCTAAGTAGCTGAGACCACAGATGTGCACCACCATTCCTAGCTAATTTTAAAACTTTTTTGTAGAGATAGGTTTCACTGAGTTGCCCAGGCTGGCCTTGAACTTCTGGACTCAAGCAATCCTCCCACCTCGGCCTCCCAAAGTGGTGGGATTACAGGCATGAACAGCTGCACCAGGCTTGTTGACACTTCTGACCCCAGGTTGTATGAAACAGTGATACATGCCATGTCAATAGACTATTCAAAACTCAAATATGATAACTGTGAAGTGGGAAGTTAGCCATGCCTCAATGCTACAGTTAGCTACAACTAAACAAATGGAATATTTTATTTTTCAAATCTTTGTTAGGGCATGTAAAAAATAGGATTCTCTTGAGAAAGGCCCAACTCATGTTTTCTGTGTGCCCATTTAGACTCACTTGTGCCCTTCTCCATCCTGCTGTGTCCCTGGGCTTCACTGCCTTCCAGCTTAAGAATTTGGCAAATGGAGAACCCTTGCAGGCAATCAAAGGGAATGAAGAGGGTGACTTTCCTCACAAATAACCTGCTACTCAAATCCTGATTCAAGGTCTTCTTCTGGGAGAACCCAGTCTAAGACAGCATGTATCTAGGAGCTGCCCCCTCTTTAGGATGGGTCCTTGCAGACTTGCTTGTACCACCCATAGCCGTCTGGACCCAAGTTGGGCACCTGGCCCATGCTGTACCCATCAGATTCTCTCTTTCTCTCTCTCTTTTTTTTTTTTTTGAGACAGTCTCACACTGTCACTCAGGCTGGAGTGCAGTGGTGCAATCTTGGCTCACAGCAACCTCCACCTCCCAAGTTCAAGCTATTCTCTTGTCTCAGCCTCCCAAGTAGCTGAGATTACGGGCGCACCACCATGCCTGGCTAATTTTTGTATTTTTAGTAGAGACAGGGTTTCTACTAAAACAGTCAGCCATGTTGGCCAGGCTGGTCTCAAACTCCTGACCTCAAGTGATCCACCTGTCTTGGCCTCTCAAAGTGCTGGGATTACAGGCGTGAGACACCGTGCATGGCCCTATCAGATTCTCTTTCCCTGAGTTTTTGTATGGGAACAGAGAGCACGTTGATTAGTGTCTGCAGAAGCCTGGAGCTTTCACATGTGAACTTGGAAACTTTGCAGGGACATAGTTTACCATGTGGGTAGGGAAAGCAAAGAAAGCCTTTCTGCAGAAAGGGAGAAAGAGAGAGAGACAGAGAGACAGACAGACAGACTAGGAGAGAGACAGGAGAATGGGCAAGAGAATAAGAGATGAGAGATTGCTTTCTGTTCTAGGGTCCCTCCCTTTCTGAAACCCTCCTACATCCAGCTCCTGGTCTGTGAATGCTGCCAATATATGTACAATAAATTCCCTATTGTCTCTCAAGCTAGCTCAAATAACTTCTATTACATATCACCAAAGAGTCCGTTAGTCCAGAAAAGCATCATAAAATTACACTCTGATTCTCAGTGAGCCAGAAAGTTCTGCCCTCACTATGCCCCTTGTAAGAATTTCCTTCTCACAGCCCTGAAAGGGCAATGATTGTTAATCTCCCCACAGGTGAATGAACAAGTCTTCCACTACCCTCCGGCATTCATAAAACCTGACTTGAAGACCTGGCTGGCCATAGAGTAAGGCCTTTGTGGTTCAAGACAATCCGGGGTGGAACAATGTATTTCCTAACTGCCTTAGCTAGAACTGCACAAGCTCATGAAGCAACCCCAAATTTAGAGATATGTGGCAGTAGGAGGGAAGGCAGGATATGCACAGGCAAGAACAGACTGTGATGCCAATTCTGCAAGCTTCCTGACTCCTGCTTGCTGTCTACCAGGGTTGCCAGATCCTCAGCCTCGCTGTCTTTGTGACTGGGCTGCTCGAAGCTGTGGCTATAACAGGCAGCTCTCAATGTCATGCTGACACTGGGGAGCAGCAGCACCTTGACACAAAATCTCTTCTTTCTCCCAGCCTGCCACAGTTCATGAGATCCTCATTATTGCGTTGTTCTTTTGCTTAAAGTATGATTGACAGAATGTCACTTTCAGAAGCACAGTGTATATTACAAAAGAACAGAAAGAAGACTGGAAGCATAGTCACTACCTATATGTTCTGCTGCTCTGGGCCATGGAGCTGCTCAATGACCCCAGGTTTGGTCGCCAGAACCCTCACTGCTACTTTATCCTCCATAGACATCCATCCACACAGACCTCTCCCACTGAAGTCCTGCCACCTCCCAGGAGCTCTTGCAGAGGCAGGGGCTGGATCCATCTCTTCTCCTAGTGTTGGGGGGTGAGTGTGTCCAGGGTGGGGAATCCATCATCGCACCCCTGATCTTATCCTAGAAAAAGAAAACTGCTTTCTCTTCCCTCTCTGGGACAATTGATATAATTCTTCTAGACAGACCAGCCCTCTTAAACAAAGGCCTGAGACTGGGGAATGTGTTCGGCCCCTATGTTCCTGGCCAAAGAAGCCCGGAAGTTTATCCTTTCGTTCCAGAATAGAGTGGCAGCAGGGAGATTTCTTTCTTGCTTTTTGGTGATGAGAGAAAGGATAGAAGCAAGGGATTACAGCAGAAACAATGAAAGGGCCGCAAACTCTGCTGGGCTTAGATTCATTCATTTGTTGAACAAATATCTGTTGAGTGTCTATACCAAGTACTGGGAATACAAAAACAAGGTCCTGCTCTTGTGAAACTTAGAGACTGAACAAGGAGATGGTTAGAAATCAGATAATCACTCCAAGACAGCGGTTTTCAACCAGGGGGCAATTTTGCCCTCCAGGGGACATTTGGGAGTATCTGGAGACATTTTTGTCACAACTGCAGGGGCTGCTACTGACATCTAATAGGTAGAGGCCAAGGATGCTGCTGAACAGCCTACAATACACGGAACAACCCCTGTACAATAAAGAATGATCTGGCCCAAAATGCCAATAGTGCCAAGGCTGAGAAACCCTGCACTAAGGCAGTGGTTATCAAAGTGTGCTCCACAGACAGGTGGCATCAGCATCGCCTGGGAACTTGTTGGAAATGCAGATTCTTCAGTCCTATTCTAAACCTACTGAATCAGAAATTCTGGAGGTGGAAGCCAGTGACCTATGTTTTAATGAGCCCTCCAGGGGATTCTGGTGCACACTAATGTTTGAGAACCACTTAATTAAGGAATGGAAGGGATCTATCATTACAAACGGAGACAAATGTTCTGAAGGAAAAGGACTGTACCAATGCTACTCACAAAGCGGATCGGCGGCATCAGCATCATCAGACAGCTCATTAGAAATATGAATTATTGGCAGGGCGCGGTGGTTCACGTCTGTAATCCCAGCACTTTGGGAGGCCGAGGCGGGCGGATCATGAGGTCAGGAGATCGAGACCATCCTGGCTAACACGGTGAAACCCCATCTCTACTAAAAATACAAAAAATTAGCGGGGCATGGTGGCAGGCGCCTGTAGTCCCAGCTACGCGGGAGGCTGAGGCAGGAGAATGGCGTGAACCCGGGAGGCGGAGTTCACAGTGAGCCAAGATCCTGCCACCGCACTCCAGCCTGGGCGACAGCGTGAGACTCTGTCTCAAAAAAAGGAAAGAAAAAGAAAAAAAGAAACACAAATCATTGTGCCCCATCCTAGACCTACTCAATCAAGGGGAGGTGGGTAGGGACCAGATCAAGAAAACCACGAAGGGGGGTGGCATTCTAAGTAATTAAGACTTTACAGGCTGGGTGCAGTGGCTCACACCTATAATCCCAGCAGTTTGGGAGGCTGAGGTGGGAGGATCATCTGAGGTCAGAAGTTCGAGACCAGCCTGGCCAGCATGGTAAAACCCCATCTCTACTATAAATACAAAAATTAGTCAGGCATAGTGGTGGACACCTGTAATCCTAGCTACTCTGAAGGCTGAGGCAGGAGAATTGCTTGAACCCAGGAGGCGGAGGTTGCAGTGAGCCGAGATTGCGCCACTGTACTCCAGCCTGGTCGACAGAGCAAGACTGTCTCAAAAAAACTAAAAACAAAAACAAAAACCCTAGAAGATAGGTGTTGTAGGGGAGAATGATGGAGATAAGGTTGTAGATAGGAAGATGGGAAGCTGAGGTACCTCATGCCTGAAAGCATCCATTTGTCCGGGTTGGCAGAGGTCAGAGAAGGAGGAAGACAATGGCTTTAGAAGATAGTGAAGGTTTAAAGCAGGCTTCATGGGACTGGAAGAGGGAGCTGACCAGGTACCAGTGCACAATTAACCGAGGTGCCAGGGTCTGCTTGAGGGTCAGTGGTCACGTACGTGGCCACTAACTGCAGCTGTGTAGTACTCAGCAGTCTTGGTGTGGGGACTAGAAATATGAAGATTGGCTCAATCTATGAATTTTCTCCAAATTTCATTCCCTGCGACACAGCTCCTCTTTTAATTCTTCTGATTATATGCTGGGGCAGAGACTGTTACTTGAACCCTATTATTCATTCTAACTTAACTGGGCACATGGCTTCCTTGAGTAAAGATTACATTTCTAAGCCTGTCTTCCAAGTTTGATGTGGTCACATGACAAAGTTCTGACTAAAAGGATATAACTGGAAGTTTTGTACATGATTTGATTACCAGTCCTTAAAGGGGCAGGCATGACCATCATTCTTTCTTCCTGTTTCCCCCTGGCTGGAATGCAGACACAATGGCTTGAACTCAAGCAACTGCTTTGGGTCATGAAGGGGAAACCACGTGTTTAAATGGCAAAGAAACAAGATAGAAGAAATCTTAGTCTGGTATGATAATGAAGCCTGTAATCAGCACTGGACCAGCTGCCCCTGGTCCAGTGCTGATTTTTTTACATGAAGAAAAAATCTACATGCACAAGTTTTCTGTTATATGTAACTGAAGCTAATCCGAAATTGTCCGTTCTCCCTGCTCTCGTGGTCAGCCTCACCTGCATTTATATTCTGTCAATTCCAGATGCCTATGTCTTTCTCAACTCCCTGTTTCAGCTTCCTCTGGGTCTTTTTGAATACCTAACTCATGGTTTGACCTGGCATCAGCTCTGCTTGTTCAAATCTCTGATCAAAGGCATACCAAATTTGCCTCTGGGGCATCTCTGTTTATATTTTACTTCTGATTAAATTGCAGTGGAAATCCCACAAATTATTTCTCACTTATTTTTGGTACTGCATCATTTTCATAGTGCTATCAATAACTATGCCATCATGTTTTATAGAAGAAAACGTATGAATTCCTTTATATCTTGTGGGTGGAAAAAGGTATTTCTAACTCAAAGTTGAGATGTAATAAAAGATTAATAAATGTGATAATTTAAAAAGAAGAGGCCAGGCATGTTGGCTCACACCTGTAATCCTGGCACTTTGGGAGGCCAAGGCAGGCAGCTCACCTGAGGTCAGGAGTTTGAGACTAGCCTGGCCAACAAGGTGAAACCCCATCTCTACTAAAAATATAAAAATTAGCTAGGCATGGTGGCAGGCGCCTGTAATCCTAGTTACTTGGGAGGCTGAGGCAGGAGAATTGCTTCAATCTGGGAGGCCGAGGTTGTAGTCAGCCGAGATCGCGCCACTGCACTCCAGCCTGGGTGACAAAGCAAGGCTTCGTCTTAAAAAAAAAAAAAATCACACACACACACACACACACACACACACACACACACGCACGCACACAATAAAATGAAGAAATTTTGCATGACAAAAAGTACAATAAGCAAACTAAAAAATAACCCCACCATAAATAAAGTCAAAAGACAGGTAAATGACTTGGAGGAAATAATTTGCAACATGTATTACATGTGTTATGGATAAAGGGATTAATCCCCTTATCTGTCTATTGAACAAGTTGAGAGGGAGAAATTGGCTGGAGAACAGAAAGGAAGAGAAGGGGAGGGAAAGGAAGAAAAGGGAAGAGAAGGAAGGGGAGAGGAGGGGAGGAGAGGAGAGGAGAAGGAAGGGAAGAAAATGAACAGAGTGAGTATCCTGTGAACATGCTGGGACAGAGGATAGGGCATAGGAAGACAAAAAGGGACTGTCATCAACTTTGGTGCTAAACGAAGGGAAAGAGGAGCAGGTGGCCCAGATCTGGATGGGTTTGGATGTTTAATTGCATGAGGAAGCAAGTCAACAGCTGCGAAGGAGAAGAGGGAAATTTAAAATAATCCTGGTGGAGGGGAGGAGCCTGTATTTGGCTAAAAGACCAGACTCTGTTGAGTGAGTGCAGCTGGTGAGGATGAATTTACAAAGGAGTTGTTGTCCCTATGAGTGACTTTTCCCTGGCAGTTCTTGAGAATAGAGTTATTTGACTTTTTATTGTCTTCTCACGCAAAGGAGTCCCTTCTAATTTGACTTTGTCATTATGGGAACTTTTTCCCTACAGATCCATAAGGAGGAAAGAAATGAAGGGATGGTCAGCAAAAAGCAGTTTAATTACTACTAAAAATAGCATAGGCCGGGTGCAGTGGCTCACAACTATAATCCTAGCACTTTGGGAGGCTGAGATGGGTGGATCACTTGAGGTCAGGAGTTCGTGACCATCCTGGCCAACATGGCAAAACCCTGTCTCTACTAAAAATATAAAAATTAGTTGGGCTCAGTGGCATGTACCTGTAATCCCAGCTATTAGAGAGGCTGAGGCAGGAGAACAGCTTGAACCTGGGAGGCAGAGGTGGCAGTAAGCCGAGATCATGCCACTGCACTCCAGCCTGGGCAACAGAGCGAGACTCCATCTTAAAAAAAAAAAAAAAAAAAGCATAGACAAGGCATGGTGGTTTACGCCTGTAATCCCAGCACTGTGGGAGCCTGAGGTGGGAGGACTGCTTGAGCCCAGGAGTTCAAGACCAGTCTGGACAACACAGTGAAACTCCCTGTGTAGCTAGGCATGGTGGTACATGCCTTGTATTCCCAGCTACTTGGTGGGAAGTGGGGAGGGAGAATAGGGTGGACTGCTAAGGCAGGAAGATCACTTGATCGTGGGAGATCAAGGCTGCAGTGAGCCATGATCGTGCCACAGCACTCCAGCCTGGGTGACACAGTGAAATCCTGTCTCAAAATAAATACAAATTTTAAAAGTATGTTCAATTCATTAAGTTTGTCAAGTAAAACAAGTAAGCAACATCAGACACAGAGAGAGGTAGAAAAACTCAGAAGTTTCTGAAAGGGACATTACGGACAACTGTTAGGGGAAGGCTGGTGGTAAGTTTTTCTTATCACCTTAATTCAGAGGACACTCTCACTACTTTTTGCAACATGGTTGGGTGACTAAGCCCTTGCTCAGAGTTCAAAGTCCTAATGCTATTAATCTCTGAGATGATTCTCTGAAGAGGGTAGGACGCAGATTGTCTACGTCTGAAGTGGCTGTGGGTGCAGAAGATATCTAAACATTTGCAATTTGTTTGTTCCTTCTTTGCCACAACCCCACCCCCACTCCATGCAATCTGCAGATTAAATACACATGAATTGTTTCCTGTTATGAAAATCTCCTCTGCTGGGTGCAGTGGCTCATGCCATGACTGAGATCACGCCATTGCACTTCAGCCTGGGCGACAGGGCGAGACTCCATCCCAAAAAAAAAAAAGAAAATCTCCTCATGCCCAGGGCTCATAAGAATGGCCTTGGGCCTTAGGGGATGGTAAATTACATGCTAAGAGAATGTGAACATGGCTAAGTTATTTTGTAAAGGGGAAAAGGCATTAGGACCTTGGCATCCTTAATGAGAGCAGAATACTGACTAATGCTCCATAGAAAAGATTAGCAAATCTGTAATGACAATATTATTAAAAAGAAAAAAAAAAAGCCAGTCCTCTGGGGTTCAGAGGAAGGAAAAGTCTCAGGTGTCCTGCCTGGAAAGCTATGTCTGCATCTAAGTACTGCCAGAGCCCCAGCTCTGTGGGTCTGCAGGGCTGTGCACCAGAAGACCGAAAAGCTGCTATGGAGTCACTGGTCTGCTTTGATGGGTAGCTGCTGTTTGTTGGGAAACTGCTGTTTTCAGGTAGGGAAGGATGTGATGTCAGGGAGAACCCAGCCAGAGTTGAGATTTCCTTGCTGTTTGAAGGTAGATTGTCAGCGTGGGCTTGTTTCTGTGGGTTATGTTGACCTGGAAGTCTTCCAGCCCTTAGATCCATAGGGCTGGTTCTAGGCAAGAAGGTCTGTGTCTCCCTCCTGAGAAGCCTCCGATACCCCCTGACTCTGGGAGAGACTTCTAGGCATCATTCTAATAACCCAGCTTCAAACTTACTGCCTATGCAGAGAGCTGATGTGAAAGTATTTGCATTTTGAAGGGGGACTCCACAGGACTCAAAGAAATGCATTTCATTTTGTTTTGTTTTAAGATAGTCTCACTCTGTTACCCAGGCTGGAGTGCAGTGGCACAATCTAGGCTCACTGCAACCTCTGCCTCCCAGGTTGAAGCAATTCTCCTGCCTCAGCCTCCTGAGTAGCTGGGACTACAGGCGTGTGCCACCATGCCTGGCTAATTTTTTGTATTTTTTGGTAGAGATGGGGTTTCACCATGTTGGCCAGGCTGGTCTCCAACTCCTGGCTTCAAGTGATCCACCTGCCTCGGCCTCTGAAAGTGCTGGGATTGCAGGCGTGAGCCACCACATCTGTCCAGGAATGCATTTCTAATGGTGGAACTGCAAGTACGTAGAGTGAAAAAGATACTTTGGGCAGGATGTTCTACCCTGTGCTGTTCAAATTACCTGTTAAATAGGAATCAGGTAATTTGTGGGTATTAGTGGGTAGCCACCCACTTCATCCTTTTGAGAGCCTGGCTCTGCCCTTTGGAAGTTTAGAAACATCTGGCTCACCGTTTTTCTGAAAAGTATGCTGACTTCAGTCAGTTGTAAGGACTTACTGATAATGAGTATTTACAACTAGACACTATTAGTGGACAGCAGGTTAAGTGCTTTTCTCTTTCAGAGAAAAGGTTTTATTATCTCCTTTTTTTTTTTTTAGGGGGGGACAGGGTCTCACTCTGTTACCCAGGCTGGAGTGTTGTGGCATGGTGTCGGCTCACTGCAACCTCCATCTCTCAGGTTCAAGCAATTCTCCTGCCTCAGCCTCTCGAGTAGCTGGGATTACAGGCACCCACTATCACACCCAGCTAATTTTTGTATTTTTAGTAGAGACCATGTTTCACCATGTTGGCCAGGCTGGCCTCAAACTCCTGACCTCAGGTGACCCACCCGCCTCGGCCTCCCAAAGTGCTGGGATTACAGGCGTGAGCCACCGTGCCCGGCTGCCTCCTTTTTATAGAACAGGAACAACAGGAGCCCCAGGAGCTGGTGCTGCGGCCTGCAGGAGACATGAAGTTAGCACTTTGCCTCTCTCCTGAGTCTATATGGCCATCCACAACAAAGGAGGAAGCCAATTAAAGATAATAAGCCTAAGGAAAGCGATGTCTTCAGATTATTTTCTACTTCAATTGAGTTGGGGCATCTGAGTTTCTTAATTACACATTTTTCTTTCATTTATGCTTTTATTAGTGATTTTCCATGGCTTGGGCTTTAAGAAAGCCACTTTAGCAACGAGGCACTCTGACACTGGGGTTGTTATAACACACATGAGAGATGTTTCTAAAACACACAGAGGATTTGGGTCACAGCTATTCAGTACAGGGTTGTCTGCTGTATCTATTTTAATGATTTAATAATTAATGAGTTCAACATGCTCTGGTTCAATTTTTTTCTTCAATTAATACTAACTTTCAAATTATTTTCTGAGATTGGGAATAGTAATTGTTATTCATTTTCAGATAATAGCACTCTTCGCAGTTTTTTTTTTTTTTTTTTCGAGACAGAGTCTTGCTCTGTCACCCAGGCTGGAGTGCAGTGGCATTATCTCGGCTCACTGGAACCTCTACCTCCAGGGTTCAAGCGATTCTCCTGCCTCAGCCTCCCAAGTAGCTGGGACTATAGGCACGTTCCACCATGCCAGGCTAATTTTTTGTATTTTTAGTAGAGACGGGGTTTCACCGTGTTAGCCAGGATGGTCTCGATCTCCTGACCTCGTGATCCGCCCGCCTCGGCCTCCCAAAGTGCTGGGAATACAGGTTTGAGCCACTACGCCCGGCTCTTTGCAGTTTTAGTATTTTAATATCTTTTTAGCCAACTCTGCCACATATGAGCTCTGTCACGGCTTATCTATTAATACATTCTCTGCCTCAGTTTCTTCATCTGTAAAAGGGACATAATAATAGTATCTTTTTTTTAAGAGGTGCTGGGGAATGAACCCAGGGAATAACAATATCTTAATCACAGCATTGTAGTGAAGAGTAAATAAAGAAATTCATGTAAATCATGCTCTTATTACAGTTCTGGAACCCTCTACCAAGTTTAGCTATTATTAACATTATTATAATTGTTTTGAATTACAAAATTAGTATGTGCTTGTTATTAAAAAAAAAAAAAAGAAAAAAGTTCAGGCCGAGTGTAGTGGCTCATGCCTATAATCCCAGCACTTTGGGATACTCAGTTGGATCGCTGAGCTCAGGAGTTCGAGACCAGCCTGGACAACATGGTGAAACCCCATCTCAACAAAAAATACAAAAATTAGCTGTGCCTAGTGGTGTGTGCCTGTAGTCCCAGCTTCTCGGGAGGCTGAGGTGAGAGGATCACTTCAGCCTGGGAGGCGGAGGTTGCAGTGAGCCAAGATCGTGCCACTGCACTCTGACCTGGGTGACAGAGTAAGACTCTGCCCCCAACAACAACAACAACAACAAAAGGCGAGGCACTGTGGCTCATGCTTGCAATCCTAGCACTTTGGGAGGCTGAGGCAAGAGGATCATTTGAGGTCAGGAGTTTGAGACCAGCCTGGCCTGGCCAACATGGTGAAACCCTGTCCTACTAAGAAATACAAAAAAATGAGCTGGGCATGGTGGTGCGCACCTGTAATCCCAGCTACTCAGAGGCTGAGGCAAGAAAATAGGTTGAACCCAAGAGGCAGAGGTTACAATGAGCCAAGACCAAGCCACTATACTCCAGCCTGGGTGACAGAATGAGACCCTGTCTCAAAAAAAAAAAAAAAAATTCAAAACAATCTAAAACATAGAGGTTTATAAAGTAAGAAATGATAGCGTCCTCTCTTGACCCAGCCCCACCCAATCCTGCTTTCTGGAGATAACCACTGTATTTGGACCACAGTCTTTCCAGGCATACTCATGCAATGTCTTGGAACTTTGCCTGTCCCATCTAACAAATTGACCATGACATCTCTCCACAGCAGCTCTGCGGGAAGCACCTCTTTACATAATATGGGTATCATCTGACCTTGCCTGATTTGTATGTGGCTCCAGTATGTGTTTAGAGTGTCTTTCACATTACTGTGTAGTTAAACCCTCCTTCTTTTCCTTAGACCTACTGGGTTTTGTCTAATGCTTTTAAAGACCTTTGCAGTCAGGAGCATTGAGAAATACACTTGCCAGGATTGGAAAATGAAGAGGTCCGGTGTGGTGGCCTGTAATCCCATCATTTTGGGAGGCTGAGGCAGGAGGATTGCTTTAGTCCAGGAGTTTGAAACTAGCCTAGGCAACATAGTGAGACCTCGTCTCTACAAAAAATGATAAAAAAAAAAATCAGCTGGGCATGGTGATGTACTCCTGTAATCCTAGCTTCTCAGGTGTGTTAGGTGATAGATCACTTGAGCCCAGGAGGTTGAGGCTGCAGTGAGCTCTAATCATGCCACTGCATTCCAGCCTGGGCAACAGAGTGAGACCGTATCCGGAAAAAAAAAAATCCACTCAAAGGTATTTGTCAAAAAAACAAGTGGATATTCAAAAAGAGAAAAAAAACTGAGTGATTGTTACATCTTTGACAGTGAGATGTTTCTATTAATATGCTTTTTAAGTTGAAAGATAAAGTTGTATATATTTACCATGTACAACATGATGTTTTAAAATACACATACATTATGGAATGACTAAATCTAGCTAATTAACACGGGCATTGCCTCACATAGTTTTCACTTTTGTGGTAAGAACACTTCACATCTGCCCTCTTAGCATTTTCCAAGAATACAATGTATTATTGACTATCACCACCACAATGTATAACAGATCTCTTGAAGTTATTCCTCCTATTTAACTGGAATTTTGGCCATCATCTCTCCAGACTGTCCTCCTCACAACCACCTCATCTCCTGGTAACCACCAGTTTACTTTCTCTCTCCTCTTTTTTTCATTTTTATTTTTTTGAGATGGAGTGTAGCTTTGTCGCTCAGACTGGAGTGCAGTGGCACAATCTTGGCTCACTGCAGCCTCTGCCTCCCACATTCAAGTGATTCTCCTGCCTCAGCCTCCCAAGTAGCTGGGATTACAGGTGCATGCCACCATGCCCAGCTAATTTTTGTATTTTTAGTAGAGACAAGGTTTCACCATGTTGGCCAGGCTGGTCTCCAACTCCAGACTTCAGGAGATCCGCCCGCTTCAGCCTCCCAAAGTACTGGGATTACAGGCATGAGCCCCCATGCCTGGCCCACCATTTTACTCTCTACCTCTGCAAGATCAACTTTTTTGGTTTCTACATTTAAGTGAGATCACACAGTATTTGTCTTTCTGTGACTGGCTTATTTCACTTAACATAATGTCCTCTAGGTTCACTGCGTGTTGTTGCAAATGACAGGAGTTTTCTTTTATGGCTAAATAGTATTCCATTGTTTGTATATACCATATTTTCTTTATCAGTTTATCCATTGATGGACACTTAGACTGATTTCTTTCTTCCTTTCTTTCTTTTTTTTTGAGACAGAGTCTCACTCTGTTGCCCAGGCTGGAGTGCAGAGGCGTGATCTTGGCTCACTACAACCTCCACATCCCGGGTTCAAGTGATTCTCCAGCCTCAGCCTCTTGAGTAGCTGGGATTACAGGCATGCACCAACACACTCGGCTAATTTTTGTATTTTTATTACAGACGGGGTTTCACCATGTTGGCCAGGCTGGTCTCAAACTCCTGACCTCAAGCGTTCCATCCACTGTGGCCTCCCAGAGTGTTGGGATTACAGGTGTGAGCCACCGTGCCCAGCCTGGTCAATTTCATGTCTTGGCTATTGTGACTAGTGATGCAAAGAACATGGGAGTGCAGATATCTTTATGAGGTAGTGATTTATTTTCCTTTGGATATATACCTGGTAGTGGGATTGCTGGATCTTATGATAGTTCTATTTTTAATTTTTTGAGGATTTTCTATAATGCTTTCCAAAATGACTATACTACTTTACATTTTCACCAACAGGTACAAGGGTTCCCTTTTCCATCCTCACTAGCACTTGTTACCTCTTGTCTTTTCTTTTTTTGTCTTTTTTTTTTTTTGAGACGGAGTCTTGCTGTTGTCACCCGGGCTGGAGTGCAATGGCATGATCTTGGCTCACTTCAACCTCGGCCTCCTGGGTTCAAGCAATTCTCCTGCCTCAGCCTCCCGAGTAGATGAGATTACAGGTGCCCGTCACCACTCCTGGCTAATTTTTGTATTTTTAGTAGAGACAGGGCTTCACCATGTTGGCCAGGCTGGTCTCAAACTCCTGACCTCATGTGATCCACCCGCCTATGCCTCCCAAAGTGCTGGGATTACAGGCGTGAGCCACTGCACCAGCCCGGCCTACAGTGTGTCTTTTTGATAACAACTATTCTAACCGGTGTGAGGTAATATCTCACTGTGGTTTTAATTTGATTTTCCTTGATTATTAATGATGTTGAACTTTTTTAATACATCTATTGGCCATTTGTATGTCTTCTTTTGAGAAATGTCTATTCTGATCCTTTGGCCATTTTAAAATCAGGTCATTTCTTTCCTTGCCATTAAGTTGTTTGAATTCCTTATGTGTTTTGGATATTAACTCCCTATTAGATGCATAGTTTGCAAATATTTTCTCCCATTCTGTAGGTTGCCTCTTCACTTTGTGGTTTGCTGTGCAGAAGCTTTTAGGTTGATGTAATCCCATTTGTCTATTTTTGCTTTTGTTGCCCATGCTTTTGGAATCACTTCAAAGAGTCATTGCCCAGGCCAGGCGTGGTGGCTCGTGCCTGTAATCCCAGCACTTTGAGAGGCTGAAGCAGGTGGATCACCTGAGGTCAGGAGTTTGAGACCAGCCTGGCCAACATGGTGAAACACCCTCTCTACAATCTACAAAAAATACCAGGGCATGGTGGCACGTACCTGTAGTCCCAGCTATTAGGGAGGCTGAGACAGGAGAAACGCTTGAAGCTCAGGAGGGGGAGGTTGCAGTGAGCCAAGATGGTACACTGCACTTCAGCCTGGACGACAGAATGAGACTCTAGCTCAAAAAAAAAAAAAAACAAACTTGAAGATAGGCAGCATTGTAAGCACATAAAAATCTTTATCACCGGCCGGGCACAGTGGCTTACACCTGTAATCCCAGTACTTTGGGAGGCTGAGGCAGGTGGATCACAAGGTCAGGAGTTCGAGACTAGCCTGGCCAACATGGTGAAACCCCGTCTCTACTAAAAATACAAAAATTAGCAGAGCATGGTGGCTTCGCGCCTGTAATCCCAGCTACTTGGGAGGCTGAGGCAGGAGAATAGGTTGAACCCAGGAGGCAGAGGTTACAGTGAGCCAAGATTGCCCCACTGCATTCCAGCCTGGGCGACAGAGCAAGGCTCCGTCTCACAAAAAAAAAAAAAAAAAAAAAAGGAGTTTACAGTCCATCTGATATTTTTTCTTCTTGGCTGTCAACTTACTGTTTAATTATGCCTTTAGACTACTGCATGATTGAAAAAGCACTAAGATGTCTTTTTTTTTTTTGTCTTTTTTTTTTTTTTTTTTGAGAAGGAGTTTTGCTCTGTTGCCAGGCTGGAGTGCAGTGGTGCAATCTCAGCTCACTGCAACCTCTGCATCCTGGATTCAAGTGATTCTCCTGCCTCAGCCTGCCGAGTAGCTAGGACTACAGGCGTGCGCCAACACGCCCAGCTAATTTTTGTACTTTTAGTAGAGATGGGGTTTCACCATGTTGGCCAGGATGGTCATGATCTCTTGACCTTGTGACCCACCCGCCTTGGCCTCCCAAAGTGCTGGGATTACAGGCGTGGGCCACTGTGCCCAGCCTTTTTCTTTTTCTTTTTCTTTTTTTTTTTTTTTGAGACAGAGTCTCGCTCTGCCCCCCAGGCTGGAGTGCAGTGGCACGATCTCAGCTCACTGCAATCTCCACCTCCCAGGTTCAAGTGATTCTCCTGCCTCAGCCTCCCAAGTAGCTGGGACTACAGGTGCCCACCACCATGCCCAACCAATTTTTGTATTTTTAGTAGAGATGGTGTTTCACCATGTTGGCTAGGCTGGTCTCGAACTCCTGACCTCAAGTGATCCACCTGCCTCGGCCTCTCAAAGTGCTGGGATTACAGGCATAAGCCACCGCACCCGGTATAACCCCATCTCTACATAAAATACAAAAGTTAGCTGAAAGTGGTGGCAGGTACCTGTAGTCCTAGCTACTTGGAAGGCTGAAGTGGAAGGATGGCTTAAGCACAGGAGGTGGAGGTTGCAACGAGCCAAGATTGTGGCACTGCACTCCAACGTCGGCAACAGAGCCAGACCCTGTCTCAAAAAAAAAAAAAAAAAAAAATGCCTTGAGACTCATTAATTATTATACTTAACCCTTGAACTTTTGTGACGTTTCCTTATCTCTTTCTTAAAGCCAAGTCCTTAGATGAGAAAGTAATTAGATCAAGGTTCAGAATGGCAAAGAGAGATAAGATAATTGCAAATAACATCATCCTACTTTGAAAGAGCTATTTTGGTCTTTCAACTAAAATGACTTTTTCTGCTGAAAGAGATTTGGCTGAAGTAGCTGGCTCAGCTGATGGCAGAGAATCAACAAAATATGAAGAGCTTCATAAAATTGTGGCATAACCCAATTTATGCAGCCATTATATAATCAATGGCAAAACAGAAGGGAATCTAAAACAATTTATAATTTACTTTGGGAATACAATAAACTATTTTGTTGTCTCTGGCAAGATTTTGTTGTGATGCTTATTTCAATTAGTTTTCATTTCTTAGGCATGGACTAACTAAAAGTGTCAAGACAGTATGGTCGGAGGCATGCTTATGAAACTGCCTTTGCAAAAATTACAACTGAGAAAATTATGACAGTGAAAGAGATCTGACCTAACTGACTCCATCTTGCTTCTAACCTCCAAGCTGTCCTTGTTCATTCCTGGGTGTAGGCTGCACTAACTTTGGGAGTTTATGGCTTCACTTTGAAACAAAGATGATAACAACCCTTCCCCAAAACAAATCCCTTTCCTGGAGACTAGACTGCCTTTGCAGGACTAGTAAATAAGCCTCAGGGTTAGAAATCATGGTTTAGGATTCATGCAGCTGGCTGGCGGTGGGGAGGGGGGAATCACTTGAGGTCAGGAGTTCAAGACCAGCCTAGCAAACCTGATGAAACCCCATCTCTACTAAAAATACAAAAATTAGCCGGGTGTGGTGGCACGCACCTGTAGTCCCAGCTACTTGGGAGACTGAGGCAGGAGAATCGCTTGAATCCCTGAGGCGGAGGTTGCAGTAAGCCAAGATAGCACCAGTGCACTCCAGCCCGGGTAACAAAGCAAGACTCCACAACAACAAAAACAACAACAACAAACTAAGACCAGTGCTTGAGATATTTTCCAGACCTTGCACTTGACGGATTAGCTGGCATCGCTCAGATCAATAAACAGGCTCATCTGGTCTTGTGGCCCCCACCCAGGAATTGACTGAGTGCAACAGGACAGATTCGACTCCCTATGATTTCATCTCTGACTTGATCAATCAGCACTCCCCACTTTCTGATCCCCCTACCTACCAAATTATCCTTAAAAAACTCAATACCTGAGTTTCAGGTACTAATCTGAGTACTAATAAACTCTGGTTTCCCGTGCAGCTGGCTCTGCATTTATTACTCTTTATCTATTGCAATTCCCATGCTTGATAAATCAGCTCTGTCTAGGCAACGGGCAAGAAGAACCCACTGGGTGGTTACACTTATGTGGCAAAAAAAGTCACTATCGACTTCAGAAATTTGCACCAGCAGCCCACAGAAAGAAAAATAAGGCTCATCATGGAAAAGCCACAACAGAATAAATAAGAGTTAATTTATACCTAGACTTTTTTTTCAAGCAAAGGTAGACACTAGCAAAGGCTTTAAGGTTTGTTTCACTGATAACAAGCCATGAAGAAGTCATGTTTCTGAGATTTCTTAGAGGGTATAAAGTTGAGTGGGTTGTGAATGAGGAGTGGGGAACAGGTGAGACCTGGGAAAAGACTTATTTATTCGTGCATATAACAATGATTTCACTTATATGTGAGTCACTGAGCTGGGCTCTGAAATACAAGCAGAGAAAAAGATAAACGTGGTCTTTGCCTTTGAGATACTTACAGTTTGGTGGGAAAAGCAGAAAGGACAAAGGAGTTTAGAGCAATCTGGGTAAACAGAGGAAAGTGAGCTATTCTTGCAAGGGACCACTAACTCTTTTCAGATAAGTCAGAGAAGGTTCCTGGAGGAAAAATTGGTTAAAGCTGAGATTGTAAGGAAGATAAACATCAAAGAAGAGAGAAGAGTGTTCGTAAGGGAAGAAATTGCATGGGGGAAGAGCTCAGAATTGAGAGAAGGCAAGCATGGAGTATTTAAGGAAAAGAAAGTCCGGGCATGGTGGCTCACACCTGTAATCCCAGCACTTTGGGAGGCCAAGGTGGCGGATCATCTGAGGTCTGGAGTTCGAGACCAGCCTGACCAACATGGTGAAAACCCATCTCTACTAAAAATAAAAAAATTAGCTGGGCATGGTGGCACATGCCTGTAATCCCAGCTGCTCAGGAGGCTGAGGCAGGAGAATTGCTTGAACCCGGGAGGCAGAGGTTGCAGTGAGCCAAGATCGCGCCACTGCACTCCAGCCTGGGCGACACAGTGAGACTCCATCTCCAAAAAATAAATAAATAAATAAATAAATAAAAGGAAAAGAAAATAGTGTATAGGTAAAATATTTATCTTAAGTCCAGGACTCCTAATTTATGGGTTATTATTCCAATTTAGGCATCGATAGGAGGCTATGAGTATACACTACTCTTTCAAGAAAATGGTGAAAGGGGAAAAGAGCCCTCAGTTTTGTTAAATTTTATAAGAGGCAATTGATTTGGTCTGACCTCCTCCACTAGGCCCCAGCAGGCCAGGCCAAATCAGAACTGAGTTACTTGTGCTAAGTGCCATGTAATCAAACTGAACTTTGAAACAAGCCCATCTTCCAGAAAACGGGAGATTCCAGTCAATCTGAGTAAATATAATAAGGAAGTCTTCTCTGTTTTAACCCTACAAGGAAAGTAACTTTGAAATGATCAATTTGCAGGGCCGGGTGCGGTGGCTCATGGCTGTAATCACAGCACTTTGGGAGGCCCAGGCGGGAAAATCACTTGAGATCAGGAGTTCAAGACTAGTCTGGCCAACATGGCAAAACCCTGTCTCTACTAGAAATACAAAAATTAGCCGGGCATGGTGGTGCACGCCTGTGATCCAGGTACTAGGGAGGCTGACACACAAGAATCACTTTAACTCAGGAGATGGAAGTTGAGATCGCACCAGGACACTCCAGCCTGGACGACAGAGTAAGACTGTCTCAAAAAAAAAAAGAAAAAAAAAAGGACGATCAATTTGCTTTTTGTTCAAATCTCTTTCTGCATTCTTTAGCCCCTTTTCTGCCTATGAAGCTAACCTTGTCTGCTCAGCTCATTGGAACATTCAATCTTATAGAATGAGATGCTGCCTGATTCTAGAATTGTAAACAAAAGCCAATTAGATCTTTAAGCTAAATCTTAATTTTGTAATTTTGTCTTTAGACAGTCTCTTTTTTGTGGTCCTGCAGTTGTGGCAGTTATGTAGTTATCTGCATGCATCAGAATATTACAATATTTTCATCCTCATCTTTAATTTCTACTTTTCATATTTTTAAAATGTAGACATTCAAGTTTATTTATTTATTTATTAAAACCATTTTGTAGGCCGGGCACGGTGGCTCACGCCTGTAATCCCAGCACTTTGGGAGGCCCAGGCAGGCGGATCACGAGGCCAGGAGATCGAGACCATCCTGGCTAACACGGTGAAACCCCGTCTCTACTAAAAATACAAAAAATTAGCCGGGCGTGGTAGCGGGCGCCTGTAGTCCCAGCTACTTGGGAGGCTGAGGCAGGAGAATGGCGTGAACCCGGGAGGCGGAGCTTGCAGTGAGCCGAGATGGCGCCACCGCACTCCAGCCTGGGCAACAGAGCGAGACTCCGTCTCAAAAAAAAAAAAACAAAACCATTTTGTAGAGACAAGGTCTCCACTGTGTTGCCCAGGTGGGTCTTGAACTCCTTGCCTCAAGTAATCCTCCCATCTTGGCCTCCCAAAGCAGTGGGATTACAGGGGCATGCCACCCCACCCTCTCCAAGACATTGAATTTTATTTATTTTTTTTTTTGAGACGGAGTTTCGCTCTCGTTGCCCAGGCTGGAGTGCAATGGCACGATCTTGGCTCACCACAACCTCCACCTTCTGGGTTCAAGCGATTCTCCTGCCTTAGTCTCCCGGGTAGCTGCGATTACAGGCTGCACCACCACACCCAGCTAATTTTGTATTTTTAGTAGAGACAGGGTTTCTCTGTTGGTAAGGCTGGTCTCGAACTCCCGACCTCAGGTGATCCTCCTGCCTCGGCCTACCAAAGTGCTGGGATTACAGGCGTGAGCCACTGAGCCCAGACGAATTTTTTTTTTTAAAAGGCAAGGTCTAGCTCTGTTGCCCAGGCTGGACTGCAGTGGCAAGAACATGGCCAACTGCAGCCTTGACCTCTCAGGCTCAAGCAATTCTCCCACCTCAGCCCCCCAACTACCTGGGCCTACAGACATGTGCCACCATGCCTCGCTAATTAAAAAAAAATTTTTTTTGTAGAGACAGTGTCTCCCTATGTTGCCCAGGCTGGTCTCAAACTCCTGGCCTCAAGTGATCCGTCTCAGCCTCCCAAAGTGCTGGGACTACAGGCGTAAGCCACCGCTCCCGGCCAACATTTAAATTTTTGAATATTTTTTCTGTTCCCTTAGGGTTTACCAAGCACATTTATCGACAAGCCTCCTCAGGAAATTGCCCAAAATAGCCACATGTGGCAAGCCTCATTGACAGGCCAAAAGCCTCAGTCAACATGGCCGCGACCGGCTTCCATTGCCCTTCACTGCCCGCAGTAAGGATGGCTCCGGTGACTTCCTTCGAACCTCACATTTCCCATAAAAAAGATGGCGCCATTGCTTCCGCGTTCCGGTTGCGGATGGTGAGTGTGTCGGGGGGCTTGGCGGCTTTTCTCCTCAGTTTTCTGGAGTGCTTTGGAGGAGAGGTAAGCGCGGGATGGGATGGGGGGGGGTTGGAGTGGTGGGGGCGGGGGTCACAGCAATGCATCTGATCGTTCTCTCTCAATTAGGAAGTTATGGAGGCTTTCCTAGGCATGTCAGGATTTCCTGCTAGCTCCCCGCCCCTTCCGCCCCAACACACGGTGTCTGCAGCCTGTGCTTTGGGGAATTTTGGGAATTTGTGGATAGTGAGTATGGATAAGCTTCGGTTTTGTTGTTTTTTTTTAAATTTTTTCAGTGACCTGCCACTTCAGGAGGTTCTGCTAAAAAACCAACAAACAAAAAAACAGCTTTCTTGGGAAATTTCTATTCACCTACTAAGTAAAATTTGCCCATTTAAAGCGTAAAAAAAAATCAAGCCTAGCATAGTGGCATTCGCCTGTAGTTCCAGCTGCTCAGGAGACTGAGGTGGGAGAATCGCTTGTGCCCCGGAGTTCCAGGCTGCAGTGAGCCCAGATCGCGCCACTGCACTCCAGCCTGGAAGACAGAGCAAGACAACGTACCCAAAAATAAATAATAAAGGGTAACATTAAGGGTTTTTTTGTTGTTGTTGACAGAATTGTGCATCTATTACTGTGATCTCATTTTAGAATACTTTCATCACTCCAAAGAAAAATCCTGCCTCCAGTAGCAGTCATTCTACATTCACCACGTCCACTCCGCCTCAAGTCCTAGACAATTGCTAGTATACTTTCTGTCTGTATAGCCTTGCCAATTCGCACGTTTGATATAAATGAAATCATACAGTGCAGCTGGCTTCTTTCATTAAGTATAATGTCAATGTTTTTGTGACTAGCTTCTTTCATGACTTTTGTTCTTTTTTTAAACGGAGTCTCATGACTCTCACTCTGTAGCCCAGGCTGGAGTATAGTGGCACGATCTTGGCTCACTGCAACCTCTGCTGCCCAGGTTCAAGCTAGTCTCCTGCCTGAGCCTCCCGAGTAGCTGGGACTACAGGCGCCTGCCACCACGTTCGACTAATTTTTGTATTTTTAGTAGAGACGAGGTTTCACCATCTTGGCCAGGCTGGTCTTGAACTCCTCAGCTCTTGATCAACCTGCCTCAGCCTCTCAAAGTGCTGAGATTACAGGTGTGAGCCACCACGCCCGGCTATCTTCTTATACTATGTATAATATTTTCAAAGCTTGTCTTTGTATCATGTGTCAGACTGTTAGCAAATAAATAAAACTCTGTAAACTATTTTAAAGCGGTTTATTCTGAGCCAGTATGATTGACCATCGCCCAGAGAGAAAACACAAACCCAAAAAGTCTTTAGTAAGTGATCCCGAGGCAGTTGGGTTATAGTTTGTTTTTTTTACATTTTAGGGAGACAGGAGTTAACAGGCAAAGACATAAATCAATACATGGAAGGTATACATTGGTTAGACCCAAAAAGGTGGATATGTCCAAGGGTGGTCTTAGAAGTCTTAGGTGGATTTTAGGGATTCTTTAGCTGACAGTTGCTTGAGAGAGTTAAGCTTTGTCTAAAGACTTGAAGTCAGTAGAAAAGAATGCTTGAACTAAGATAAGGGAGTTGTGTGGTTCAAGGTCCTTGTTACGTAGATGAAGTGTGAGTAGCAGCCTCAGAGAATAGATGGGCTAGGTGCCATGACTAGAGATGGGCTGGGCTCCATGGCTCACACCTGTAATCTCAACGCTTTGTGAGGCCGTGGCAGGCAGATCACTTGAGGTCAGGAGTTCAAGACCAGCCTGGCCAACATGATGAAACACCATCTCTACGAAAAATAAAAAAATTAGCCAGGCACGGTGGCGTGCGCCTGTAATCCCAGCTACTTGGAAGGCTGAGACACAAGAATTGCTTGAACCCAGGAGACAAAGGTTGCAGTGAGCTGAGATCGCACTACTGCACTCTAGCCTGGATGACAGAGTGAGACTCCATCTCAAAAAAAAAAAAAACAAAAAAGAGAGAATAGATGGTAAATGTCTCTTTTTGGAAATTTAGGTGTCAGAATTAATCTTTCCTGGATCTGGGAAAGGCCTAGAAAAGGAAATCCTGGCTGCATTAATGGAGATTCTCTACAGATGCAAATTTCTGTTACAAAAGACAGCTTTGTAGCTTTGTAGGGCCATTTTAAAATATGTCAAAGAAATATATTTTGGGGTTTTTTTTTTTTTTTTTTGAGGCAGAGTCTTTGTTCTGTCACCCAAACTGGAGTGCAGTAGTGCGATCTCGGCTCACTGCAACCTCTGCTTCCCAGGTTCAAGCAGTTCTCCGTCTCAGCTTCTGGAGCAGCTGGGATTACAGGTGTGCACCACCACACCTGACTAATTTTTGTATTTTGTTTGTTTGTTTGTTTTTGAGATGGAGTCTTGCCCTGTCACCTAGGCTGTAGTGCAGTGGCGCAGTCTCAGCTCACTGCAACCTCCACCTCCTGGGTTCAAGCGATTCTCCTGCCTCAGCCTACGGCGTAGCTGGGATTACAGGCACGCATTGCCATGCCTAGCTAATTTTTTGTATTTTCAGTAGAGATGGGGGGGTTTCACCATGTTGGTCAGGCTGGTCTCAAACTCCTGACCTCAAGTGATCCACCCGCCTCTGCCTCCCAAAGTGCTGGGATTACAGGCATGAGCCACCGCACCTGGCCGACATAAAATATTTTTATTTCATTCAGGGTTTGCTATCTGTCATGTGATGCTATACCAGTGTCAGGTTGGAAGATAAGCCACATTATACCAGGTTAATAAAAAAAGAAAATCCCATTTAACAAGATTTTATGGTCTGTAGGATGTATCCTAACCTATGTCTTGCATGGCCTAGGTCTTGTTTATAATTTGGTATCTTTTTTAACAATATATATAAATATAAAACATAGAGACAGGGTCTTGCCGTGTGGCCCAGGCTGGAGTCGAACTCCTGGTCTCAAAGGATCCTCCCACCTCGGCCTTCCAAAGTGATACAGAAGCTAAAAAGAAATTAATTAGGCAGTTAGCGAGGGTTAGGGAGTCCTTGGTAAAGTTTTCCTTTTAATAAAAAGCAGCCCCAAATCATTTCTAACAAAAAACAGCCTGAAAAATCAAGCTGCAAGCGTAGATAAGCAAGCTGGAAGCTTGCATAGGTAAATGCCGGCAGCTGTGCCACTAGAAAAGGGATTTCTGGAAGCCAGGTATATTCAACATAGAGGTTTCCTCTTCCCTTTACTTTGTCGCCACGTGTACAAGCAACATGGCACTGGCCAGGTTAAATCTCTATTTGTATAATAAAAGATTAGGGTGGGATGGCCAGCCTCTTAGCATGCTTTGTTAAAGGCACACCTGGTCCAACCAACCCTCTCTCTGTGCCCTATGTAAATCAGACACTGGCTCCTCAAGCTCATCTATAAAACCAACCTCATCTTGCCCCAAATGGGGGAGATCCGTTCGGAACCCCCCTCCCTCTGCATGGGAGAGCTTTTCTCTTTTGCCTATTAGACTTTCCTCTCTTAAACACACTCCTTGTGTGTTAGCGTCTTTGATTTCCTTGTCATGAGACAGTGAACCTTGGGTATTACCGCAGACAAACGACGCCGCTTCAGAAGTGCTGGGATTACAGGCATGAGCCACCACACCTAGCCATAATTTGGTATCTTATTGCCACAGAGTCTGTTTTGTCAGTCATATGATCTATTTTTTTTTCTTGAGACAGGGTCTTGCTCTGTCACCCAGGCTGGAATGCAGTGGTGTCATCTCAGCTCACTGCAGCCTCAACCTCCTGGGCTCAAGCAATCCTCCCATCTCAGCCTTCTGAGTAGCTAGGACTACAGGCAGGCACCACCATGCCTGGCTAGTTTTTGTATTTTTTGTAGAGTCGGGTTTTCACCATGTTGCGCAGGCTGGTCTTGAACTCCTGGGCTTAAGTGATCTTCCTGCCTCAGCCTCCCAAAGTGCTGGGACTACAGGTGTCAGCCCCTGCACCTGGCCATGATCTCTATTTTTAACATTAATGCTGGTCATTTGTGCCTAAACTCCAAAAAGAGGTGGTTATAACAAGGTATGTCTGACCTCCTTTCCCATTGTTGATGAAAAAAGCCAAACTCTGTAAAATATTTAAAGAGGTTTATTCCGAGCCAAATATGAGTGACCATGGCCCGTAACACAGCATCAGGAGGTCCTGAGAACTTGTGCCCAAGGTAGTTAGATTACAGCTTGGTTTTATACATTTTAGGCCTCAAAATGTATAAATGTTTGGGGAGAGGGTTTCAGGTCATAGGTGAATTCAAACTGATTGGCAATTGGTTGCTTTGCCTGAAGTGTTGAAATCAGCATAAAGAAATGCTTGAGTTGGGCCGGGCGTGGTGGCTCACGCCTGTAATGCCAGCACTTTGGGAGGCCGACGCGGGCGGATCACCTGAGGTCAAAAGTTCAAGACCAGCCTGGCCAACATGGTGAAACCCCATCTCTACTAAAAATACAAAAATTACCTGGGCGTGGTGGCACATGCCTGTAATTCCAGCTACTCGGGAGGCTGAGGCAGGAGAATTGGTTGAACCTGGGAGGTGGAGGTTGCAGTGAGCCGAGATCGTGCCATTGCACTCCAGCCTGGGCAACAGAGCGAGACCCTGTCTCAAAAAAAAAAAAAGAAAAAAGAAGAGAAATGCTTGAGTTAAGGGGGTTTGTGGGAGCCAAGGTTCTTGTTGTATAGATGAAGCCTCTAAGTAACAGGCTTTAGAGAGAATAGGTACTAAATATCTCTTACAAGGCCTTAAAAGAGGCTTCTGGATGAGACCTACTAAGGCAGGGATCCTCAATCCCCGGGCCATGGACCAGCACCAGTCTGGAGGTGAGTGGCAGGCGAACTAGCATTACTCTCTGAGCTCTGCCTCCTGTTACATCAGTGGTGGTATTAGATTCTCATATGAGTGTGAACCCTATTGTGAACTGCACATGCAAGGGATCTAGGTTGTGTGTTCCTCATGAGAATTTAATGCCTGATGATCGGAAGTAGAACAGTTTCATCCCAAAACCGTCCCCCCACCCCCAGTCCATGGAAAAATTGTCTTCCATGAAACTGGTCCCTGGTGTCAGAAAGGTTGGGGGCTACTGTAGTAAGGGAAGAACATTTTCTTTTTCTTTTTCTTTTTTTTTTTGAGATGGAGTTTCACTCTTGTTGCCCAGGCTGGAGTGGAATGGTGTCATCTAGGCTCACCACAACCTCCGCCTCCCAGGTTCAAGCGGTTCTCCTGCTTCAGCCTCCCCAGTAGCTGGGATTACAGGCACGCACCACCGCGCCTGGCTAATTTTGTATTTTTAGTAGAGACGGGGTTTCTCCATGTTGGTCAGGGTGGTCTCAAACTCTCAACCTCAAGTGATCCGCCCACCTCGGCTTCCTGGAGTGCTGGGATTACAGGCATGGGCCACCACGTCTGGCGGGAAAAACATTTTGATAGCATGCAAATGTCCCCTCAAAAGATGGCTTTGCAGAGCCATTTCAAACTATGACAAAGAAAATATGTTTTGGGGTAAAATCCTTTGATTTCCTTCAGGGCCTGCAGTCATGTGATGCTATACCAGAGTCAGGTTGGAGTTGCGTATCTTATTGCTATGAAGAATCTGTTTTGTCAGTCTTATGATCTCTATTTTAATGTTAAGGCTGGTCAGTTGTGCCTACACTTCGAAGAGAGAAAAGTATAAGGAGGCATCTCTGACCCCCCTTTCCATCATCGCCTGAACTAGTTTTTCAGGTTTTCTTTGTGGCTCATGTCTGTAATCCCAGCACTTCGGTAGGCCAAGGTGGGAGGATTGCTTGGGCCTAGGAGTTTGAGATCAGCCTGGGCAATATAGTGAGACCCCCATCTTTACAAAAAAAAAAAATTTTTAAGCATTATATTGATCTTTAGTGACCTAAATATCAAAGATATTTCTATTTGGGGGACATTGCCATCTTAAAATATTAAGTCTTTTGATCCACGAACATGGGATAGCTTTCCATTCCTTTAGATCTTTTATTTCTTCCAACATTTAAAAATAGTTTTCAGTATACATCTTACATGTCTTTAATGTATTTCTAGGATTGTATTCTTTTCTATGCCATTGTAAATGGAATTGTGTTCTTAATTTTGTGATCATTTATTGCTAGCATACATAAATATGAATGATTTTTCTGCATTGATCTTGTATCATGTGACCTTGTTTAACTTTATTCATTCTATAAGATTTTTTTTAGCAGATTCCTTAGGATTTTCATTTTCTTTCTTTCTTTCTTTTTTTTTTTTTTTTTTTGAGATGGAGTCTCACTCTTGTAGCCCAAGCTGGAGTACAATGACAATCTCAGCTCACTGCAACCTCCGTCTTCCATCAGCTTCCCAAAGTGTTGGGATTACAGGCGTAAGCCACCACATCTGGCCTAGGATTTTCTATATGTAAGATCATATCTGCTAATAGAGATAGTTTTACTGTTCCCTCTCCAATCTGAATGTCCCTGCCTAATTGCCCTGGCTAAGGCTTCTAGTACAATATTGAATAGAAGTGATAAGAGTAGACATCCTTATCTTGTTCCTAATCTTTGAGGGAAAAGCATTCAGTCTTTTACCATGAAGTATGGTATTAATTATGGGTTTTTCTTTTTCTTTTTTTCTTTCTTTCTTTTTTTTTTTTTTTTTTTGAGACAGAGTTGCTCTGTCACCCAGGCTGGAGTACAGTGGTGCAATCTTGGCTCACTGCAACCTCTGCCTCCTGGGTTCAAGTGATTCTTCTGCCTTAGCAGGAGAGTTACAGGGTAGCTGGGATTACAAAGTACACCACCACGCCCAGCTATTTTTTGTATTTTTAGTAGAGATGGGATTTTACCATGTTGGCCAGGCTGGTCTCGAATTCCTGGCCTCAAGCAGTCTGTCCACCTTGACCTCCCAAAGTGCCTGGTGTAAGCCACTATGCCCAGCCTTTTTCTCTCTTTATTTTTTATTTTTTTACTTAGCAACCTACTTGATAAACTATGGGTTTTTCAAAAATGCCCTTTATCAGGTTGAGGAAGTTTATTTCTATTCTAACTTTGTGGAGTATTTTAATCATGAAAGGGTGTTTGACTTTGTCAAAAACTTGTGTGTGTGTGTATATGTGTGTATCTGTTTTGGGTTTTGTCCTTTATTCTACTAATGTAGCATATTACAGCAATTCTTTTCTTTTCTTTTTATGAGATGGAGTTTCACTCTTGTTGCCTAGGCCGGAGTGCAGTGGCACCAACTCTGCTCACTGCAACCTCCGCCTCCCAGGTTCAAGCAATTCTCCTGCCTCAGCCCCCCGAGTACCTGGGATTACAGGTGCCCACCACCACACCTGGCTAATTTTTGTATTTTTAGTAGAGATGGGGTTTCACCATGTTGGCCAGACTGGTTTTGAACTCCTGACCTCAGGTGATCCACCCGCCTCAGCCTCCCAAAGTACTGGGATTACAGGCATGAGCCACCATGCCCAGTCCACATCAATTATTTTCAAATGTTAAAACAACTTTGAATTCCTGGGATTAGGTCCATGTTAGAGTATGATCCTCTTATATGTTGCTAGATTTGATTTCTTGCGCTATCTTTACCTGGCTTTGATGCAGGTAAATACCCTGATGTCAGGGTAATACAGGATGCATAGAGTGAATTGAGAAGCGTTTCCTCCTCTTCCATGTGTTAGAAGCGTTATCCAGGAGAGGGAGATGCACCTCTGCTGGAAGGAAGGACAAGTGCAGTGGGAGGAAGCAGGGTAAATTGGAGAACCTGAAGGAGGTCCATTATGTCAGATGCAGGGACAGTGAGGGGGCCTGAGGTACAAGCTAAGGTGGGGGGATTTGGGCTAGAGATGTTTCTTGGTGGTAATTAATGTCTCAGAGAAGGAAAGGGAAGGGAAGGGAGGGGAGGGGAGGGGAAGGGAGGGGGAGGGGAAGGAGAGGGGGAGGGGAAGGGAAAGGAAGGGAAGGAAGTGAGCTTTGGGCCAAGTATTATTTTTTTTTATATTTTTTTTTTTTAGATGGAGTCTCGCTCTGTTGTCCAGGCTGGAGTGCAATGGCACGATCTCAGCTCACTGCAACCTCCACCCCCTGAGTTCAAGTGATTCTCCTGCCTCAGCCTTCCGAGTAGCTGGGATTATAGGTGTCTGTCATCATGCCTGGCTAATTTTTGTATTTTTAGTAGAGATGGGGGGTTTCACCATGTTGGTCAGGCTGGTCTCAAACTGCTGACCTTGTGATCCACCAACTTCAGCCTCCCAAAGTGCTGGGATTACAGGTGTGAGCCACTGCACCTGGCCTTGGGCCAAGTTTTAAGGAAGTCCATTTTGAGATGGAGGATAGGAACAGGCAAAGAGGTGGGAGGACGCTTTGGGAAGGTCATCCTGAAAAGAAAAGAAGTACCTGCAAGTTATGAGTTGAAATGAGCCAATTGTGGGGTCTTTTGAGAAGTCTGTGGAGGGGAGAGGGGACTAGCTATGAGGAGAGCAGATGTCAAATGTGTTTTTTTTTTTTTCTCATCTTTCTTGACAAGTTTTTTTTTTTTTTTTTTTCTGAGATGGAGTCTCGCACTGCCCACCGGGATAGAGTGCAATGGCGCGATCTCTGCTCACTGCAACCTCCATCTCCTGGCTTCAAGTGATTCTCCTGCCTCAGCCTCCCAAGTAGCTAGGATTACAGGCACCCGCCACCACGCCCAGCTAATTTTTTGTATTTTTAGTAGAGACGGGGTTCCGTTATGTTGCCAGGCTGGTCTCAAACTCCTGACCTCGTGATCCGCCCACCTCGGCCTCCCAAAGTGCTGGGATTACAGGCATGAGCCACGGTGCCCAGCCGACACCTTTTTTTAATTAATTTTTTTTTTGAAAGTCTTGCTCTATTGCCCAGGCTGGAGTACAGTGGTGCAATCTCAGCTCACTGCAACCTCTGCCTCTTGGCTTCAAGCGATTCTCATGCCTCAGCCTCTCCAGTAGCTGGGATTATGGGTGTCCACAACCACGCCCAGATAATTTTTTGTATTTTTACTAGAGATGGGATTTCACCATGTTGGCAAGGCTGGTCTCGAACTTCTGGCCCCAAGTGATCCACCCACCTTGGCCTCCTAAAGTGCTGGGATTACGGTCTAAAAATTTTTTAGACAGGGTCTAGCTCTGCTGCTCAGGCTGGAGTGCAGTGGCATAATCACAGCTGACTGTAGCCTCGACCTCCTGAGCTCAAGTGATCCTCCCACCTCAGCCTCCTAAGTAGCTGGGAGTACTGGTACTTGCCACCACGACTTGCTAATTTTTTTTGTTTGTTTGTTTTGTAGAGATGGGGTTTCACCATGTTACCCAGGCTGGTCTCAAATTATTGGGCTCAAGCAATCTACCTGCCTTGGCTTCCCAAATTGCTAGGATTGCAGGCATTAGCCACTGTGCCCAGCCAACTTTTTATTTTGATATAATTTTATATCTTAAAAAAAATGCAAGACTAGTACAAAGAGTTCCCAAATAATGTTTTCCAGATTCATCAGTTATCTACACTTGCACCATTTAACCATTTACTTTATCATTCTCTGTCTCTGTATTTTTATACACACACACACACACACACATATACATATACATCTATATTTGACAGTATATTGCAGACATCATGTCTCCTTATCTTTAAATATTTAAGTGGCATTTCCAATGAACATCCTCTTTTTTGTTGAAAATGGGGGAGATTTGGGTATGTTGAAGAGTTTAAGTGAAAGGTCCAGTCGAACAGAAAACAGAGAAGGGATTGTTGTTGCTGAAGGCTTCTGGAAAGGTCTAGAGAGTGGGATGTAAAACCCAGGTGTGTGTGTGTGAGGGGGGCCTTTGCTAGGGGAGGGTCAGCTCCGCAGTTGCAAGGAGAGGTGAAGTGGAGTGCAGGTGTGGGAGGCTTTGTTATGTTTGATAGGGGAGTTTAGGAAGTTCCTCTCTGCTGGCTTCTGTATGTGTGTGTGTGTGAATTAAGGACCAAGATGAGGCCGGGCTTGGTGGCTTACACCTGTAATCCCAACACTTTGGGAGGCTGAGACGGGTGGATCACCTAAGGTCAGGAGTTCATGACCAGCCTGACCAACATGGCAAAACCCTGTCTCTACTTAAAATACAAAAATTAGTCGGGCATGGTGGCTTGCACCTGTAGTCCTGGCTATCCGGGAGGCTGAGGCAGGAGAATTGCTTGAGCCCGGGAGGAGGAGGTTGCAGTGAGCCGAGATCATGCCACTGCACTCCAGCCTGGGCGACAGAGCGAGACTCTGTCTAAAAAATAAAAAAAAAACAACAAGGTGATTATGAAAAAGAGGAGGAAGGTGTGTGAGTGTTGGAGGAGGGTCTGCATTGAAGAAGAGTGGAGAAAACATGAAGTGGTCAAGGAGAAGAGAAGAGACAGTTACGAAATAAGCATTTTAGTATTCATTTAGTGAGACAGCCTGTTTCAGGTTGACACTTGTTCACCTAGAGCACAGCCAATCTGCCCTGTTTGGTGACTCACATGGAGAGTGAGGGGTGGTTGAGTTCATCTAGGCTGGGGTTTTGCCAAAGGGGTGTGATGAAAGGACAAAATGGGGAGGGGGAGGGAAGTTTAGGACATTAACAAGATTATGGATCATAGAACGTACTGGATAAGGATGAAAGAAGCTGCAGCCATAAAAAACAATGAGTTCATGTCCTTTGCAGGGACATGGATGAAGCTGGAAGCCATCATTCTCAGCAAACTAACACAGGAGCAGAAAACCAAACACCACATGTTCTCACTCATAAGTGGGAGTTGAACAGTGAGAACACAGGGACACAGGGAGGGGAACATCACACACTGGGGCCTGTCAGGGGTTAGGGTCAAGGGGAAAGAGAGCATTAAGACAAATATCTAATGCATGCAGGGCTTAAAACCTAGATGACGGGTTGATAGGTGCAGTAAACCACCATGGCACATGTATACCTACATAACAAATATGCACCTTCTGCACATGTATCCCAGGACTTAAAGTAAAATTAAAAAAAAAAAAAGGATGAAAGAAACAAAATGGCCCCTGGATGGGAAACAGAGGAGCAAGTGAACTAGAGGCAGGCTGAGAAGATAGGAGCCTGTAATTTGTTTCTTAATGATTACTATTTTACTTATCAGAGCTAGCCATCAGTGAGCCACAGATACTGTGCTAAATATTTTTCATGTCTTAATTTCTTTTTTTTTTTTTTGAGATGGAGGCTCACTTTGTCGCCCAGGCTGGAGTGCAGTGGTGTGATATCGGCTCACTGCAACCTCCGCTTCCCAGGTTCAAGTGATTCTCCTGCCTCAGCCTCCCAAGTAGCTGGGATTACAGGTGCACGCCACCGCGCCCAGCTAATTTTTGTATTTTTAGTAGAGATGGGGTTTTACCATGTTGGCCAGGCTGCTCTCGAACTACTGACCTCAAGTCATCCACCTGCCTCGGCCTACCAAAGTGCTGAGATTACAGGCATGAGCCACTGCACCCGGCCTCATGTATTAATTTCATATAATTCTTATGACATCTCTAGAAGGTAAGTATTTTTTTTTCACTAAAAATTACAGGTGGCTCACACCTGTAATCCTAGCACTTTGGGAGGCTGAGGCAGGTAGATCACCTGAGGTCAGGAGTTCAAGACCAGCCTGACCAACATGGTGAAACCTCATCTCTACTAAAAATATAAAATTTAGATGGGTGTGGTGGTGGGCACCTGTAATCCCAGCTACTCGGGAGGCTGAGGCAAGAGAATTGCTTGAACCTGGGAGGCAGAGGTTGCAGTGAGCCGAGATTGCACAACAGCCTGGGTGACAGAGTGAGACTCTGTCTCAGAAAAAAAAAAAATTCTTTTATTTATTGACACCAGTTTTGGTTTAGAAATACCTTCTCTCTTTAGATTTTTCACAACATGCATTTAAGGGAAGGGAATTAGAAATAAATAAATAACAAGCTGATGCCTAAGTCACTTCTAAACTCACCCTAGCCCGAATTAACCCCACAGGCCCACTGGATCTGGGAATCCAGCCATACTCTCTGAGTGGGTAATGATGTAGAGGGGTGAGCTTTTGGCCAATGGCAGAAATAAAAGTGAGCAAACCAGCAGGTACATTTAATAACAAAAATGTTAGTCTTTCTCACCTGCAGGATTTGGGGACCAGTGCCTGCTCAACACTTTTTGGGTACTTGCTGAGTCCCTTGGCTATTGTGGGGGAGGCACTTGTCATTTCCCGCCATATGAAGGCAGCAGACTGTGAAAGAGAAAGTAAAAATAGCACCACAGGCCAGGCGTGGTGGCTCACGTCTGTAATCCCAGCACTTTGGGAGACTGAGGCAGGTGGGTCACGAGGTTAGGAAACAGAGACCATCCTGGCCAACATGGTGAAACTCAGTCTTTACTAAAATACAAAAAATTAGCCAGGTGTGGTAGTGCGCGCCTGTAGTCCCAGCTACTTGGGAGGCTGAGGCAGGGGAATTGTTTGAACCTGGGAGGCGGAGGTTGCAGTGAGCCGAGATCGCGCCGTTGCACTCTAACCTGGTGACAGAGTGAGACTCCGTCTCAAAAAAAAAAAAAAAAAAAATAGCACCTAATTGCCACAAAGAAGTGTGTCTGTGGCTGGGCACAGTGGCTCACGCCTATAATCCCAGCACTTTGGGAGGCCGAGGCAGGCGGATCACCTGAGGTCAGGAGTTCGAGACCAGCCTGACCAACACGCAGAAACCCCGTCTCTACTAAAAACACAAAATTATCCAGGCGTAGTGGCGCATGCCTGTAATCCCAGCTACTCAGAAGGTTGAGGCAGGAGAATCGCTTGAACCTGGGAGGCGGAGGTTGCGCCATTGCACTCCAGCCTGGGCAACAAGAGCAAAACTCCATCTCAAAAAAAAAAAAAAAAAAAAAAGAACTGTGCCTGTAAGATAAGTATTATCATTGTAAAAGGAAAATAAAAAGTCAGGACCCCAGTTGACTCTGCCAAAAGGAACAAATTAAGCTGAAAGCTGAGTCATGCAAGAAGCTGTCTTTCCTTTTGTTCCTAAGTAGAATACTACAGGTAAAAGGTTAAATATCTCCACAGGTAGCTACTGTATGTTCATCTTATCTTCTGTAAAGTGCCCATTTACTGAGCATGAGACCAATGTGTAATTGACGATTCTCCTGCCTGTTCCTTTTCTCTTGTGACACATGGACAACCATACTCTTCCTCTTTCCCCTAAGCCCACTTTTCCCTTTTAAATATTGAAGCTCTCAAATTCATCTTTGGAAAAAGGCACAGACCACCGGCAGTTCCTGTGATTCTGGTTTATTTCTTCTGGACATGTCCTTAAAGTCAGCAAAATAAACTTCTAAACTGATTGAGACCTGTCTCAGATACTTTTTGGTTTACATCATCAAGCCATTTTATAGACAAGGAAACTGGCCGGGCGCAATGGCTCACGCCTGTAATCCCAGCACTTTGAGAGGCTGAGGTGGGTGGATCACTTGAGGTCAGGAGTTCAAGACCAGCCTGGTCAGCATGGTGAAACCCCGTCTTTACTAAAAAAAAAAAAAAAAAAAAAAATAGAAAAATCAGCTGGGCATGGTGACATGCACCTGTAATCCCAGCTACTCGGGAGACTGAGGCAGGATAATTGCTTAAACCCAGGAGGCGGAGGCTGCTGTGAGTCGAGATCGTGCCACTGCACTCCAGCCTGGGTGACAGAGCAAGGCTCTGTCTCAAAAAAAAAAAAAATATATATATATTTATATTTATATATATATATATATTTTTATATATATATATTTTATATATATATATATTTGTGTGTGTGTATATATATATATATATATACATTTCTTTGTCTATTTATAGAACAGGTTAAGTGACTTGTCCAAAGTAACACAGCTAAAAAGTGACAGCAGGGGTTCAAACCCATTCTCTTTAACTCCACAAATGAGTATGGTTCTCCAATTCATGCTTCCTTCAGCTAACAGAGTGTTCAAAAATGCAGATTGTAAAGGCCAAGTGAGGTGGCTTATGCCTGTAATTTCAGCACTTTGGGGAGCCAGAGTGTGAAGATGGCTGGCCTGAGCCCAGGAATTCAAGACCAGCCTGGGCAATATAGTGAGACCTTGTCTCAAAAAAAAAAAAAAAAAAAAATTTTGCCAAGTATGGTGTCTCATGCCTGCAGTCCCAACTACTCAGGAAGCCAACACAGGAGGATCACTTGAGCCCAGGAGGTTGAGGCTGTAGTCAGCTACGATCACACCACTGCACTCCAGCCTGGGCATCAGACCTTTTATTAAGATATAAATGGAAATAATGTGTTTTAAAAATATGATGAATTGATGAGTGGGTAGAAAGTTGGATAGATGGATCGTTGTGTGATGAAGCAAGTCATAGAAAGAGTCTAGGGGTAGCTCTATGGATGTTTGAAACTTTTCATGCAAAATATTTGGAGGGAAGTGGCTGAATGGAAGAAAAATAAGTGAAGTGAAATCACTTCTTATGTGTGCACCTTGATTGACTTGTATTTGTAGGTCTGTAAGAATCTGTAGAGTAATAGAAGAATGGCTGTCTCCTCCTGGTAAACAGGTTTTTATGCCCTATACTTAGAGACTTCTTGTGCCTGCAACCCAGGGAACCCTACTCTCCAGTATTGAAAAAGAATGTTTATTTATTTATTATTTTAATTTTTTTTACAGACAAGGTCTTGCTATGTTGCCCAGGCTGGTCTTGAACTCCTGGCCTCAAGCGATCCTCCCAACTTGGCCTCGCAAAGTGCTGGGACTACAGGTGTGAGCCACTGTGCGCAGAAAAAAAAAAGAATATTTACAATAACTTTTTTTCATATTTGTTTATTTATTTATTTTTTGAGACAGAGTCTCACTTTGTCACCCAGGCTGGAGTGCAGTGGCACGATCTCAGCTCACTGCAACCTCCGCCTCCTGGGTTCAAGTGATTCTTCTGCCTGAGCCTACTGAGTAGCTGGGACTACAGGTGCACGTCACCACACCCGGCTAATTTTTTTTGTATTTTTAGTAGAGACGGGGGTTTCACCATATTGGCCGGGGTGGTCTCAAACTTCTGACCTTGTGATCCACCCACCTCAGCCTCCCAAAGTGCTGGGATTACAGGTGTGAGCCACCACGCCAGGCCACGTAATTAAATCACCCTTAAGAGAGGAAAATAAGCACTTCTAGAGAAGGAAGTTGAACCACATTATCAAAAGGTTTGGGACAAAGGATAATAATTACATTCTACTTGCTGGCCCAAGGTTGTTCACACCACAGGAAGGGTTTAATCTGCCTCCACTTCTGGTTTTTTACTTCCGTACAAATTCACTGAGTCCCAAATAATGTATTTTATACGCACAAATCCTTTTTTTTTTTTTTTTTTTTTTTTTTTAAGTAGAGGACAGGGTTTCACTATGTTGGCCAGGCTGGTCTCAAACTCCTGACCTCACGTGATCCACCCATCTCGGGGTCCCAAAGTGCTGGGATTACAGACATCAGCTACTGCGCCCAGCTGACATGTCTTCTTTTTGTGGTCCAGTTCCCAGTTTGTGATGTATTTGGCATTTAAGTGATTCTGAAAACAAAGAAAATATAGGTATCATTTCAATGTGCTATTTGTTTTCAAAAAGGATTCCATTCATTTCATATTGCTGATGACACTCTCAGTTGATGGTTGATTTCACGGCACCTTTGCAGGCAGGCAGGATATGCCAGCATCATTCATTGACCCGTTTGTTCCCTTCCAGAAGCCTCTAGAGCAGAGTGTTAGGTAACATGAAGGGAGAAGGGGGAGGACAGAGTTGCCTGGTGCAGAGGTGTTTGCTGAAGCTTCAGGCTTGGTTGGCTAATATAGAACCTGTGAAAAGACAGGATGTTCTTGCTTCTTTAGGAACCTTGATCACTCCATTCCTTTCAAGACCAACCAGCTGATAGCTTGGCTCACTCTCAGCCTGAGCGAATGTGTACAACAGCACGTGACTGGGTGTCCTCAAACAAAAAGATCTTGCCAGGTCTCACTGTTGATTTGTTTTAATATGTCTCCTATCTTTGCCTAATCGCATGGTAGTTTAGGCTGCAATACTGGGGCTATGCAGACACAGGATGCTGGGAGGACTTTTGGCTGCGTTCATCCTAGCTTGGCTGCTTTCGAGATGTGTTTCCCTGGGCAAGTGACTTTACTACTCTCTGTGTCTGAGTCTGACTGTTAAAGAGGGTACTGATAGGATTACCTGCCTCATAGGGTTGTGACAGATGAAGCTCTTAGCACAATGCCTGGCCTCTAACAAGCATTCAATAAATGGGAACTACTCTTATGATTACACTGCTCATGTTATTCTGAAATTACTTCTTTTTAAAATTAATTATATTTTTTCTCTTCTTATAGCGTCAGGGTCTGGCTATGTTGGCCAGGTTGGTCTTGAACTCTTGGCCTCAAGCAGTCCTCCCACTTCTGCCTCCCAAAGTGCTAGGATTACAGGCTTGAGCCACCATGCCCAGTCTGAAATTACTTCTTTCATGCAAACATATGTTTTTGAGATCTTTGAAGTTCTGACTGTCGTTTTAACAGCTGCATAGGATGCCATAATTTGGATATTGCCTCCTCTGAAAACTGTTTCTTTTCCTGTCACCTCTAACCCAGTTAATAAAAAACCCAGTCACCGAAACTGTCTCTCCTTGTTGACTCTCAGCTCCTCTTTAACACATTTCTCCATTCACATTTTCTTTTCTTTTCTTTTCTTTTCTTTTTGAGACAGAGTCTCGCTCTGTCACCCAAGCTGGAGTGCAGTGGCACAATCTCGCATCACTGTATCCCCAACTGCCTGGCTCAAGTGATCATCCCATCTCAGCCTCCCGAGTTGCTGGGACTACAGGCATGCACCACTCTGCCTGGCTAACATGTATTTTTTAAATTTTTAATAGATACAAGGTCTTGCTATGTTGCCCAGGCTGGTCTCAAATTCTTGAGCAGCAATCCTCCTGCCTCAGCCTCCCAAAGTGGTGGGATTACAGGTATCAGCCACCGCGCCTGGCCTCTTTATTCATTTATTAAGTTCTACTCTCATTTCAGTTAGTAAATCTATTCTTAATCTCTCTGAATCTATTCTTGACCCGTGGGTCCCTGACCTCATTCATGTGCTCTTCCTTTCCCACCCGGACCACTGCAGGCGAATGAATTCTTGTTCATGAGATTGCCTGCCACCAGGCTTAAGTGCGACAAGTCCACCTGCTACCCAGCTGTCAAATCTGCAGATCTGACCTGATAACTGCTCTGCATGTGCCCATGGCACTCATGACACCTGGTGCCAGCTATCATAAGAGTTATTGATGACAGCAACTTATGAGTCAGAGAGTAATGGAGGGGTAGGGAACACCTAGTGTAATGTCCAAATGCTGAATCCACTAAGCCACCTTGGAGGTTTCCAGAGCTTAATTAAAGAGTCTTTGTATCCAAGTTGCTGATAGCAGCCAGGCCTTCCCAGAGCTGGCTACAGGAGGAGAAGGGCTCTGTAGCCATCCAGCTGAGACCACAGAGTTTGTCCTTTCCCGTTTACTCACTGAGTGACGAATTCTTTTTTTTTTTTTTTTTGAGACAGAGTCTTGCTTTTTCACCCAGGCTGGAGTGCAGTGGTGTGATCTCGGCTCACTGCGACCTCTGCCTCCCGGGTTCAAGCAATTCTTGGGCCTCAACCTCCCAAGTAGCTGGGATTACAGGTGTGTGCCACCATGCCCAGCTAATTTTATAGTTTTAGTAGAGAAGAGGTTTCACCATGTTGGCCAGACTGGTCTGAAACTGCTGACCTCAGGTGATCCACCCGCCTTGGCCTCCCAAAGTGCTGGGATTACAGCACTTGAGCCACAACGCCCAGCCAATTCTTGACACTCACTTTAAACCCCTGATACGCTGTGGCACTGTGCTTGTCCGAGCTGGTTCTTCCTGAGTGCACACTTTCCCCTAGCCATGGCTGGCCTGCCCCACGCTTGGGGAGAACCTCTTCCAGAAAGCCTCCTGCCCCTTCTGGGCTCTTCTGTCTTGACTCACTGTGTTAACAAGGTATGTGTCTGTGTTTGGGTCACTCCAAACTAGGAGGGAAGGGTCTGTGACATTCACCTTTGTGTTCCCAGTGCCTGGCACCAGGCCTGTCACATTAAATAATTGACTGACTGCATGTTTGGTCCGTAGAGGAAAATGCAAATCACCTGTAATCATATTACCCAGATAACTAGTGAAATTAATTCACTGGATATACCCTTCTAGACATTTTTCCTCCTAGCTTTATCTATCTATATTTCTTACACATACATCTTACACATGGCATTTTATTTTATATAATCTGGATCAAACCCTACTTAATGTTTTAGAACCTTTTTACATTGAATATATCATGTGTGTGTATGCACGTGGGCACATTGGCTGGGAATCAAGCCCAGGTCAACTGCTTGGAAGGCGGCTATGCTCACCACATTTAACGTATCATGGACAGTTCTTCTCATGTAATTGTTTTTTTTTTTTTTTTTGGTAAGACACAGGTCTCACTCTCGTTTGGGCTGGAGTGCATTGGCACAATCACAGCTCACTGCAGCCTTGACCTCCCAGGCTCAAGTGATCCTCCCAACTCTGCCTCCTGAGTAGCTGGGACTATAGGCACATGCCACCATACTTGGCTAATTTTTAAAATTTTTTGTAAAAATTGGGTCTTGCTATGTTGCCCAGGCTGGTCTTCAACTCCTGGGCTCAAGAGATGCTTCTGCCTCGGCCCCGCAAAGTGCTGGAATTACAGGCGTGAGCCACTGCACCCAGCCTTATCAAATATTCTTGTAGGCCTTGAGTTATGGTGCTGTGTGGTATTTCATTGAGAGAGTGCTCTCTGATTGAACCATTCCCTTTTCTGACATGCAGTTTATTTTCCAGCTGAAATTATTAATGTTTCTTCTCTGCTGAGAGCAATTCTTTCTCATGATGAAGAAAACAGGGTAAACAAATACTGAGTTAAAGACCATCAATAGCAGGGGAAAGTACAGCAGTCCTGCCTTACCCTTGAGGTGGACTACGGACCCCCCAGGGGATACCCGAAATGGCAGATGGTACTGAACCCAATATGTACTACGTTTTTTCCTATGCATATATACATACCTATGATAAAGGTTAATTTATAAATTAGGCACAGTAGGAGATGAACAACAAAACTAATAATAGAACAGTTATTAAAATATACTGTAATATAAGTTATGTGAATGTGGTCTCTCTCTCAAAATATCTTATTGTACTATAGTCACCCTTCTTTTTGTGGTGATGTGAGATGATGAAATGCCTACGTGGCTGAGCACTGTGGCTCACACCTGTAATCCCAGCACTTTGGGAGGCTGAGACGGGTGGATCATCTGAGGTCAGGGGTTCGAGACCAGCCTGGCCAACATGGCAAAACTCCGTCTCTACTAAAAATACAAAAATTAGCCAGGTGTGGTGGCACATGCCTGTAATCCCAGCTGCTTGGGAGGCTGAGGCAGGAGAATCGCTTGAACCCAGGAGGCGGAGGTTGCAGTGAGCCGAGATTGTGCCATTGCACTCCAGCCTGGGCAACAAGAGTGAAACTCCTTCTCAAAAAAAAAAAAAAAAAAAAAAGGAATTACCTATGTGATGAGATGAAGAGAGGTGAATGGCGCAGGCACTGTTAGTGTTCGGCTACTATTGACTTTCTGAGGTTACATCAGAAGGAGGATCCTCTGCTTCAGGCAATACTGGATCATTGAGCCATGAAGATCTCAATGCTTGGGGATCCTTGATAGTGTTTTTTGATGAAAACTTTTGGAAGAACATTCTAATCAGAGGTTGTTGCCTTTCTCTAACTCAAAAGTGTTGCTGCGAAGTTGTAGGCGATTTTAAGCTGCATTCCATCTGAGGATCATATGCCATAATTTTGTGCTTTAATGTCAGTGCAGTTTGAAACACTTCAGCAAATTTTAGTAATGTCCACATGGCTGGTTCTGGTTTAGTTTTTTCTTCATCTTCCTCTTCCTCTGTGGAGGACATGAAAGTTCTTCCAGTTCCTCATTTGCTAACACTTCTCAAAGGCCTTCAGTATGTCCTTCTATTTCATCAAGCATATCAGCAAATCCTTCTCCATCAACTTGTCTTGTTGCATGGATGATTTTCCTAATTCATCTATCAATTTCAGGCAAGCCTTTAAAATCATTCACAACTTCCACTCCATCAGTCCTTCCAGCAGGCATTTGGTTTGTGGTTTAATTCATCCATTGCAACTTGATGAGTGCTATTGCATCAGCAATAGTGAATGATTTCCAGCACTACATTATTTCCAGTTTAGGGTCTGCATCCATTGCTGTTGAATGTGATCAAATACCAGGCAGATGTATGTGGCCTTGAGAAAATGAATGATGTCCTAGTCAAGCGGCTGAAGCAAAAGGTTGTATTTGCAGGTAAAAATACAACCTCAGCATTTTCATTTTCATGGCAAACAGATTCAGGATGGTTAGGTACATTATCTATTATTAATAGGTCCTTAAATTCCAGCCCTTCCTCTTTCAAATATTTTTTCACTTCTGGGAACCATTGATACATTGGTGGAACCACTCTATAAACAAGACAGCTGTCACCCATACTTTCTGATTATATGGCTAGAACACAAGCATAAATAATTTTTGGTTTTGCTTTTGAGAGCACATGGGTTCTTTGCTCTGTACACTATGCTTAGCTTTATCATATGCCCTGCAGCGTTGCCACAGAGTACCAGAGTTAATCTGGTACTTTCCAGTCTTTTCATGCTTTATGCCCTGGTGCTTCCTTTGCACTTTTATGAATGTAGGTTCTATTGGTCATCTTCTTCCAGAAGAGGCCAGTTTTATTGCAATTGAAGACTTGCTGTGTATGGTATCTTTTCTCCTTAATCTACTTCTTCAAGTCTGCTAAAAATGTTGCAGCAGCTTCTTCACTGGCAAATGCAACCTTTTTAGTAATTTTTATGCTTTTCAGCCCAAACCTATTCTTGAATCTGTGTAACTGTCCCTTACTTGCAGTAAATGGCTTGGTGTCACTTGTTTCAGGGGATCCTTGCTGATGTCTTTGTGTAGGTTCTGTGCTTTCTGGTACAACACACTGCTATCAGAACACCTTTCTGTTCATATCTTCCACGCACAAATGTAAGGCCTTTTTCATCTTAACTAAGCACTTATGTACTGTGGCCATAACTCCATAACTTTTTTTTTTTTTTGAGACAGAGTCTTGCTCTGTAGCCCAGGCTGGAGTGCAGTGGTGCAATCTCGGCTCACTACAACCTCCGTGTGGCTATAACTTTTGCAGTTTGAGGTGTGTCAGCAAGACTAACATGAATTTCTTTTTCCTTCTTCACAATTTCACGGATAGAAGATTCATTGTTACAGTAGATCTTAGTAGCCTAGGCATATGATTTTTTTCTTTGCTTATTGAGTTGAGAACTTTTACCTTTTTTTTTTTTTTTTTTTTTTTTTTTTGAGATGGAGGTTTGCTCTTGTTGCCCAGGCTGGAGTGCAATAGCACGGTCTCCGCTCACTGCAACCTCCGCTTCGCAAGTTCAAGGGATTCTCTTGCCTCTGACTCCCAAGTAGCTGGGATTACAGGCACCCACCACCAAGCCTGGCTAAATTTTTGTATTTGTAGTAGAGACAGGGTTTCACCATGTTGGCCAGGCTGGTCTTGAACTCCTGACCTCAGGTGATCCACCCACCTCAGCCTCCCAAAGTGCTGGGATTACAGGTATGAGCCAGTGTGCCTGGCCAACTTTTACCTTTTTGCCTAAAGAAAGTATTTTGTGGCCTATCTTTGGCATATCTGACTTGCTGGCATCACTACTCTTGTGTTTTGGGGCCATTAATAAGTAAAATAAGGGTTACTTGAACACAAGCACTGTGATACCACAACAGTCCATCTGGTAACTGAAAAGGCTACTGAATGACTAAGGGGCAGGTAGCATGTACAGTTCAGATACGCTGGACAGGGGTAATTAATGTCCCAGGTGGGATGGAGTGGGACAGCATGAGATTTCATTACAATACTCAGAATGGTGCACAATTTGAAATTTATGAATTGTTTATTTCTGGAGTTTTCCATGTAATATTTTTGAACCACAGTTGGGTGAGATCAACTGAAACTGCAGAGAGCAAAATCGCACATAAGGGGGGACTACTGTAAATCATTCTGATTTCACTGTTGTTTGACCTTTAAAATTTTTTGGGTGGGTATGGTGGCTCACACCTATAATCCCATCACTTTGGGAGGCTGAGGTGGGAGGATTGCTTGAGCCCAGGAGTTCAAGACCAGCCTGGGCAACTTAGTGAGACCTGATCTCTACAAAAATAAAAATAAAAATAAAAAACAAATAAAATTCTTCAAGCTCTGTCTCCAATGAAGGATCCTGCTATGTGGTGCCTTTTGTACTGAATTGTTTTCTTTTTTCCATGGCAGGACTATGGCAGCCAGGGACGCCACTTCAGGCAGCCTGTCAGAGGAGAGCAGTGCTTTGGACCTGCCATCAGCGTGTGACATAAGAGATTACGTCCTGCAGGGACCCAGCCAAGAAGCCAACAGCGAGGCTTTCAGTTCTTTGGAATTCCATTCTTTTCCTTATTCTTCTGATGTGGATCCAGGTAATAAGCAGAGTTTAAAACAAACTAACTTAAAAACAACTAGCAGCAATACGGGTGTGTGATAGTTTGTTTCTCTCTCTTCCAATAGCAGATCTCTGAGAATGCTTCATTGTCTTAGGCAGAAAAACATCTTACCTAAGCAAAGCTTTCAGGAGGAACTTCAAAGGACAGCTTACCTGGCACAGCAATGACAAGGAGCTGTTTCCTGGATGTCTTTTTGTTATTGTTGCTGTTAATCTCAGGTCTCTTTCTAATCTCCCTCAAAATGAATTCAGAAGCAGGGGAATATTTGGTTCAACAAAGAGAGAGTGGAATTTTTTTTTGTTTTGTTCTTTTAAAACTTCAGAAAATAGCAATGTGGGCCTGTTATGTGTGATGAGTAATAAAAATAGAGACTTTAGCATTCCTTGTATGAAGTATGCTGTGGATTTAAGTAACAACCTTTCTACAAGGTTTCCTGACTAGATTGCCGAAACATCTATTATTTAAACTAATGATAATTCCCTGATGTAGGTAGTGGCCGTCTTTAGTGGTAAAGCCCTCTCTTTCATATTAATTACCTGATCTGAGTCTGGAGGCCCGCAGACCTGGATTTATTTATTTATTCATTTATTTCTTGTTAGTTTTGGTTAATCCCCTGGGTTTATCACACAGACCTGGATTTAAAGTTCAGCTCTGCCACTTGCTGGCTATGTGACTTGGGGCGTGTTCCTTAACCCCTCTGAGCTCCAGAGTCGTCTACAAAATGGTGATCAGAATGCTTGCTCCACCCAGTCAGGTTTAGCTTAAGGTAAACCTGTAAGATACTTAGCATGGTTTTTCTGCCATCGATGGGTGCTCAGTCAATGTTGTTGTCGTTAATATTAAGAAATCCAAATGGCCGGGTGTGGTAGCTCACACCTGTAATCCTAACACTTTGGGAGGCCGAGGCGGGTGGATCACCTAAGGTCAGGAGTTCAAGACCAGCCTGGCCAACATGGTGAAACCCTGTCTCTACTAAAAATACAAAAATTAGCCAGGTGTGGTGGCGGGCGCCTGTAATACCAGCTACTCGGGAGGCTGAAGCAGGAGAATCGCTTGAACCCGGAAGGTGGAGGTTGCAGTGAGCTGAGATCGTGCCACTTCACTCCAGTCTGAGCGAAAGAGCAAAACTCTGTCTCAAAACAAAAAACAAAAAACAAACAACAACAAAAAACAAATCCAAATATATATTTTTAGAAAGAACTCATTGTGGGTACTAAGCAAATGTAGGCTTTAATGATGATGAATTCAGTGATGACTACAGGTAGGATGTGTAACTGTCATTGCCTTCAAGAATTCTATGGAGAAATATGTTTGGGATTCTCTGCTGATTTTCAGGACACAGAGTAATCAGGATCAGTAAGTCTCCTGTTTAATTTAGTACCTGACTGTGTTAGTTCATTCTCACACTGCTATAAAGAGATACCTGAGACTGGGTAATTTATAGAGAAAAGAGGTTTAATTGGCTCACAGTTCTGCAGGCTGTACGGGAAGCATAGAAGCACCTGCTAGGCATCAATCAGGGCGGAAGGCAAAGGGGAAGCTGGCACTTCACATGGCTGAAGCAGGAGGAAGAAAGAGAGGGGGAAGGTGCTACACACTTTTAAACAACCAGATCTCATGGGAACTCAGCACCAAGGGGATGGTGCTGTAAACCAATTAGGAGGAACTGCCCCATGAACCAATCACCTCCCACCAGGCCCCACTTCCAACACTGGGGATGACAATTCCACATGACATTTCGGCAGGGACACAAATCCAAACCATATCACTGACCAAGAATTAGATAATTCTTTATCCTTTTCCTTTCTAGACTTAACATCTTAGTTCCTTTAACCTTCCCTTTTTTCCCTGCCATCCTGCTGCCTCTACATGACTTTCCATCCCTAAAACTGATTTTGTTCATCATCCCTGGGTAGCAACAGCATTTCTTAGAATGAGTGAATGGAGGCAGTTGAACAGAACTTTGTTTGTGTATGTATTTATTTATTTAGAGACAGGGTTTTGCTCTGTGCCTAGGCTGGAATACTGTGGTGCCATCATAGCTCACTGCAGCCTTGAACTCCTGAGCTGAAGCTATCCTCCTGCCTCAGCCTCCCAAGTAGCTGGGATTACAGGCTCACATCACCATACATGGCTTTTTTTTTTTTAATTTTTTTGTAGAGACAGGGTCTTGCTGTGTTGCCCAGGCAAGTCTCGAACTCTTGGCCTCAAGTGATCCTCCCACCATGGCCTCCCAAAGTGCTGGGATAATGGGAGTGAGCAACCATATCCAGTTTGAACAGAACTTTAGAAGTATTAGCATGTTGAAATACTTCAAGGCAATGGCTCTATTCCCTTAGGGAATTCAGTGTGGACTCAGTTTTTACTTTTTATTGCCTGTTAGTTGACTAATCTGTAGAAAAGCAACTGTTATTAATTGGAATTGGTTGACAGCTCTAAAAATAAGGAGCATGTTGAAATATTTATGTAGGGGTATTTGTTAAAAATATGGATATTCTATGCCAAAAAGGTTGTTTGGGGAACCCATGTCTAAACATGGGAAGGGGTACTCAAACGCTAAGACAACCATTTTACACGGTAGTAGTGGTGGTCGTGCTGGATTAGACAGCCTGGTTGGAATTCTGGTTCTGCTTCTTCCCCTGGTTTGACTTTGGGCGAGCCACTTAGCCCCTCTGTACCTGTCTCCTTATTTGTAAAATGGAGATGATAACAGCACCTCCTTGTTGGGGAGGTTATAAGGTTGTACAAGGTAGTGCATGAGGCATAGTGTGTGGCAGGGAGTGGACTCTCAGGAGATCCAATTCCTCATCAGCTGGGGTGCTTAGCACACTGCAGTACTGCCTGGTCAGCTCAGGATTTTTTTTTTTTTTTTTTTTTTGAGATGGAGTCTCGCTCTGTCACCCAGGCTAGAGCACAGTGGCGTGATCTTGGCTCACTGCAACCTCCACCTCCCAGGTTCAAGCAATTCTCCTGTCTCAGCCTCCCAAGTAGCTGGAATTACAGGTGAGCGCAACCACACCTGGCTAATTTTTGTGTTTTTAGTAGAGACGGGGTTCACCATGTTGGCCAGGCTGGTCTTGAACTCCTGACCTCAAGTGATCCACCCGCTGTGGTCATCCCAGGCATGAGCCACTGCTCTGGGATTACAGGCGTGAGCCACTGCGCCCAGCCAGCTCAGGCTTTTATCACAAATACCATACACTGGGTGGCTTCTCACAGCTCCAGAGGCTGGAAAGTCTAAGGTCAAGGTGCCAGCAGATTTGGTGTCTGGTGCTGTCCCTGTTCTTGATTTGTAGACAGCCACCGTCTTCCTGTGTCCTCATATGGCCTAGAGAGAGAGCCTCTTTCTCATGTCTCTTATAAGGGCACTAATGCCATCATGAGGCTTCCACCCTCAAAACTTAATTACCTCTAGCTGGGCACAGTGGCTCATGCCTGTAATCCCAGCACTTTGGGAGGCCGAGGCGGGTGCATCGCCTGAGGTCAGGGGTTCTAGACCAGCCTGGCCAACATGGTAAAACCCTGTCTCTAATAAAAATACAAAAATTAGCCGGGCGTGGTGGCAGGCGCCTGTAATCCCAGATACTCGGGGGCCTGAGGCAGGAGAATCACTTGAACCCAGGAGGTGGAGGTTGTAGTGAGCCAAGACCGCACCATTGCACTCCAGCCCCGGCAACAGAGCAAGACTCCGACTCAAAAATAATAATAATAATAAATAAGTAAGCATAAAAAAAAAGCATTCACATTGGTTTACTCATCCTACCCCATGGAAGGCTCTGGGTGTGATAATTGCTCTCTGCATACTCCACACTGCAGTGTTTTAGGGCACATTAATAGTGATCACTCCCATTTATTGAGCATTTACTACCTGTCAGGTTTTATACTGTCAGGCTCCATGCTAAATATTTCACAAACATCATCACTTTTTTTTTTTCTTTTCAAGACAGAGTCTCACTCTGTTGCCCAGGCTGAGTGCAGTGGCACAATCTCGGCTCACTGCAACCTCCACCTCCCTGGTTAAAGCAATTCTCCTGCCTCAGCCTCCTGAGTAGCTGGGATTACAGGCGTGCACCACCATGCCCAGCTAATATTTATATTTTTAGTAGAGATGAGGTTTCACCATGTTGGCAAGGCTGGTCTTGAACTCCTGACCTCAAGTGATCCACCTGCCTCAGCCTCCCAAAGTGTTGGGATTACAGGTGTGAGCCACCACACCCAGCCCAAACATCACCACTTTTAATTCTTATCACATACCTGAGAAGTGGAAATCATTCCCATTTAATAAGTGAGGAAACAAACTTGGAAAAGTTAGGAAACTTTCCCAGTGTCACTTAGCAAATGACAGAGCTGACTGAATCCAAAGGAAATGTTTCACTTTTTTTTTCTTTTTCGAGGTATGATCCTGCTTTGTTGCCCAGGCTGAAGTGCAGTATTGTGGTTCCCCTGGACTCAAGCAATCTTCCCTTCTCAGCCTCTGAAGTAGTTAAGACTATAGGCGTGTGTTATCCTGCCTAGCTAATTAAAAAAAATTTTATTTTTTTTTTTTGTTTAGAGATGAGATCTCACTATGTTGCCCAGGCTGGTCTTGAACTCCTGGGCCCAAGCGATCCTCCCGCCTCAACCTCTCAGTGTTGGGATTACAGGCATGAGCCACCACACCCAGCTAAAATCACATTGTTATTGGAAGAAAAAGAAAGCTTTTTCTAACCTGGGAAGTGACCAAGAGGATGATACCACTGAGACAAGGAACTGCTGCAAATAAATTTAGGCAAGTTTTGTTAACTTGATAGAACAAACACTTTGGAGAGGTGGAAGGAGTTTTAGGGAGGAATATTAACTTTTTGATACTATTTTATTCAAACTTAAACATTTTAAAACAATTTTTATTTTGCTGTGCACTCTGCAATTCTGTAGTACTTTTATATGTTTTGCCACAATACCCACTAGGTTTGTTTTTAAAAAGGACCAGGGCTGTGAGTGGTGGCTCATGCCTGTTATCTGGCATATCTGGTATATTATGAGGCTGAGGCAGGAGGATCCCTTTTTCTTTTTTTTTTTTTTTTTTTTGAGACAGAGTCTCGTTCTGTCGCCCAGGCTGGAGTGCAGTGGCGCGATCTCGGCTCACTGCAAGCTCCGCCTCCTGGGTTCACGCCATTCTCCTGCGTCAGCCTCCCAAGTAGCTAGGACTACAGGTGCCCACCACCATGCCTGGCTAGTTTTTTTTTTTTTTTTTGTATTTTTAGTAGAGATGAGGTTTCACCGTGTTAGCCAGGATGGTCTCGATCTCCTGACCTTGTGATCCGCTTGAGAGGATCCCTTGAGTTCAGGAGTTTGAGACCAGCCTGGACAACGTAGCAAAACCCTGTCTCTACTAAAAAAAAATTTAAAAATTAGCCGGGTGTGGTGGTACACACCTGTGGTTCCAGCTACTCTGGAGGCTGAGGTGGGAGAATCACTTGAGCCTGGGAGGTGGAGGTTGCAGTGAGCCATGATCGTGCTACTGCACCCCAACCTGGGCGACAGAGCAAGACCTTGTCAAAAAAAAAAAAAAAAATAAGGACCAGATCACCCAGAGCTTCCCAAGAACTAAGTGAGAATGGTATCTTTCAGCCATGACAGGAGCAGGGAATACACTAGAATCAAATGGAAGCCCAGCCGTTCTGTTATTTAATAACACCATCTCTAGTAGATCACCCTAAGCAGAAATAAACGTGCTCAGGTTTATCTATCACAAAGAGAACTTCATTTTAACATCACTAGGAGACTTTTACACAGCATGGAAGGCTGTTGATTTTTCTGTAAACATTCCAGAGCTACCTTTTGTGAGAAATTATCTACAAAAGTCAGTTAGGAGGCCAGATGCAGTGGCTCATGCCTGTAATCCCAGCACTTTGGGAGGGCGAAGCAGGTGTATCGCTTGAGGCCAGAAATTCAAGACCAGCCTGGACAACATGGTGAAATCTCATCTCTACTAAAAATACAAAAATCAGCCAGGCATGGTGGTGGGCACCTGTAATCCCAGCTACTGGGAGGCTGAGGCATGAGAATCACTTGAACCTGGGAGGTGGAGGCTGCAGTGAGCCAAGATGACACTACTGCACTCTAGTCTGGGCAACAGAGTGAGACTCTGTCTAAAAAAAAAAAAAAAAGTCAGTTAGGAGAGGTTATCACTGGTAATCTTGCTGTTACCAAGCAATGAACTTGAGGTGACAGCCTTAAACTCTGAAGGAGGTCACTGCCCTAACAGCCCAACCTGGTTTACTCCGACCTAACCATTTTCCACCTTAAGTTTCAGAATTGTCCAGGGGCCTGGGTTTTTCATTTATAAGTTGAGTCCATTTTCTTTTCCATGCCTCTTGTTCATAGGTAGCTGTAGTTACGGGTTCTCTCCCCATGGCCCTTCAGGAGGCTCTTGCCGACATTTTAATCTAATTCTGATGACTCTGGATCTATTGTTTGCTCAGAGACATGCCCACCTTTACACTAATCTCTACTGGGCCACCATTCTATCTCAGATTCTTAACACCTCCAGTTCCCAAGCCAGTTTGATGTTCTCTCTTGCTTACTTGCTGTTATGTGTTGTAAGGAAGTTGATCTTCCAGGGATTGGGAAATATAGCCAAGGTTTCCAGTTGGAGGGTCATTCAGGGTGACTCACCATTGGTCTCTGCCCATCCTGGTATTTACTCAGTGAGGCACACACTGTTGGCTACCTTCATGTAGCTTGTGCTTGGCTCAAAATAGAGTTGACTATCTCAAGAACTGGCAGAGTATGGCAGGTTGCTTACAGCTGAATGGGGGGTCTAAGGGTGAACTTGGGACCTGGCTCCCCCAGCTACTGGGTGAAATAGAGCCAAGCTTTGGTCATTAGGATTCATTAACTTGGCATAGTTTTTACAATTTCTGTTTTTTTTTTTTTTTTTTTTTTTGGAGACAGAGTCTTGCTCTGTCACCCAGGCTGGAGTGCAGTGGTGCAATCTCAGCTCACTGCAACCTCTGCTTCCCAGGCTCAAGTGATTCTCATGCCTCAGCCTCCCTAGTAGCTGGGATTACAGGGGTGCACCACCACACCCAGCTAATTTTTGTATTTTTAGTGGAGACAAGGTTTTGCCATGTTGGCCAGTCTGGTCTCAAACTCCTGGCCTCAAGTGATTTGCCCACCTCAGCCTCCCAAAGTGCTGAATTACAGGTGTGAGCCAGTGCACCCGGCTTGACTGTAAGAGTTCAGTCATATCATCTGTTATCAAATTCTTCAGTCAAAATCCAGACACAGAGTTGGCAAGGGGTTGGGGTTCACAGTGGAGGCGTGGCGTAGTCTTCTGGTGGCACAGCACAGCCCAGCAACAGGCACGCTGGAGAGAATACCCAGAAATCCAGGCAGGTGGCAGGCAGTGTGCAGGTGCCTTCTCAGTGAGTAGCAAGGTCCCAGCTTCCAGGTTGGAGTCAGTGTCACAGTTCTAACCCCTGGAAGAGTAGTAGGCCAAGGAAGGGTGACCTTAGATTTAGGATATAGCAAGGACCGCTGCAAAACCCAGTTACAAGAACATGGGCCCAGGCTTAGGCTTAACTTGTGTAAAGGATTCCCCATTTCACCTTGCAGCTGCCCCTGACCATGGGCCTATCCCTGCCCTGCTTTTCCCAGCCAGGCTTTTTGAAGGGGCTGCCTGCCTTCCTCCTCACTTCTTCATCTCAGGATTGCTCCTCATTCCCAGGCACATGGCCTCTACCTCCATTCCCCTCTGGACTAAGCCTGCCCTTACTCAGATGCCAATGATCTTCCCTAGGAGCCAAACTGGATGGACGCTTCTCTGTCCTTTTGCTATGTGCCCAACTGCCGCATCACTGTTCATACTCTGGAGGAGCAAATTAGTAGCAAGGACATGAGACTTAAGAGCACTTTCCAGAAAACTACTGGGCTGATAAGAATCTGAGAGTGTTAGAAAAACCTCAAAAGCCTTAGTCATTCCAGTATGAGTATGTAAAGATGGGTAAAACTAGGCTATATATGTCTAATAAAGACACAGTCCATCTGGCCTGAAGTTCCCACCCAGCCACTCCTCATGAAATGATGGTAAAATAAACAACTTTTCACTTAAAGCAGGTGCAGGATTATAAAATCCTCCCCTCAGCCCTTCCTAGTGAGATATGGCAGAAGACCTGCTACTGCCAAACAGGGCTTCCTGAGAGCGAGTGCAGAGGCTCATGCCTATAATCCCAGCACTTTGGGAGGTCAAGGTGGGAGGATTGCTTGAGCCCAGGAGTTCGAGGCTACAGTGAGCTATGATTGTACCACTGCACTCTAGCCTGCGGGACAGAGTGAGACCCTCTTTCTAAAGAAAGAAAAATATAGAGTGTTCCTGGAACACCTTTTCCATAACATTCTTCTGTTTAGGTCCCTTTGAGATGTCATATTACACTACTTTTGTCTTTAGACTGAGTCTCGCTCTGTTGTCCAGGCTGGAGTGCAATGGTGCAATCTCGGCTCCCTGCAACCTCCGCCTCCTGGGTTCAAGCGATTCTCCTGCCTCAGCCTCCTGAGTAGCTGGGATTACAGGCACCCACCACCCTGCCCAGCTATTTTTTTGTATTTTTAGTAGAGACAGGGTTTCACCATGTTGGCCAGGCTGGTCTTGAACTCCTGACCTCAAGTCATCCGTCCACCTTGGCCTCCCGAAGTGTTCGGATTACAGGTGTGAGCTACCACACCCGGCCAATCTTACACTACTTCTTTCCTTCCAGCTCCAATCAAAAAGCTCCTCTGCCTTGTTTTCGGGACTCTGTGTAATCTGCTGCCTGGAATATTTGTTCAAAATATTTAATAACCAATACAGCAGTATTGCAATATTTCAACAACCGGCACGACTGTACAGGTGCACACGAGCTGAATAGAGGCCCCTGCTGCTGTCCAACTGCACATTAACACAGGCCTGCCAGTCCTGTCGGGCTTGCTTTTAGGCTGAGCCAACTGTTAATGTCTTAGCTGCATTGTTCCCCTCTCTGGAATGTGCCCCCTCCTCCCTGGTCAACTCCAGTCCACTCCAGAGATGGCTGAATTGAATCCATTAATTAGTCCCAGGTACAGACTTGCTGCTGGACTTGAACACCCTGTCTGTTAGATACTTGTTTTCTTTCTCGTTTGCTGCTTGGCTCAAGGGAAGCACAGAGTATACAGAATGGAAGAGCGGAGTTAAGAAACAGATGATCTTGGTTAAACCTCTCAAAAGCAAGATCACAAAGGTCACCCGAAGGCCCAGTCCCACATGTACTGCTAGAGCTTGATAAACTCTGGGTAGCTCATGTGGCGTATCTCACCTGCACCCTCTGGAACCTTTGTCCTGGAGAGCATCCAAGGTACTTTCTAATATAGGACAAGGAGTTTTCTCTGAAGTCGTTGTTAGACATTAACAATACAGATGTAGGAAATATCAGCCCTTTCCTCAAACTTGAACTTCTGCCTAAGAGCAGTGTCGGGGAAATTGGTTGCATGTAGACAGCAAATTGAATGTTAAACACAATAAGTCTTTGATGATTAAAGGCCATAGCTGGCAGGCAGTTATAAGTTTAAAGTAAATAGTGATTTAATGCACCTTTAGTCTTATTCTGGGAATCTGTCAACATCCCACTCTTCAAAGCCCATTTTGTAACTTGTGTATTTAGGCATTTCATCCAAGGAATTTAGTATTTAAGAGTAAAAAAAAGTTTGTTGTCTTCCTCTCTATAATTCATATTTCTTTGGAATTCTATAAAATTTTATTTCCAAAAGGAATGAATTATAAGCTCTTAGATAAAAAAACTCAAAATAAAATTTATATACTAGTTGTCAAATTCTTGATGTGTTGTTGTAGTTTTAAAATAGGAGTCAGGGTATATTTTAGATATATACATAAAATGCTAAAGACATTTTATAGTTGCATTAAGTGATATCCAACCTAGTGGCTAATACCCAGTCACTAGACCAAACCTGAGATACAGAGAGTATGGAGAGGAAAGGAAAGAAGGGAACAATGGTTATTGAACCAATTCTCTGAGAAATAACTGAGGACACAATTGGGTACATTTTATCAGATACCAAGTAGATGGGCTTTATTTGGAAGGTTTGGGTATTCTGTGTGGCAGTGCTTCTCTGCTTTTGTTGCCTCTTCCTAGATTTGGGGTTTTTGTTGTTGTTGTTGTTTTGAGACAGAGTCTCACTCCATCACCCAGGCTGGAGTGCAGTGGCAAGGTCTCGGCTCACTGCGACCTCCGCCTCCCAGTTTCAAGGATTCTCCTGCCTCAGCCTCCCGAGTAGCTGGCACTACAGGAGCCCGCCACCACACCCGGCTAATTTTTGTATTTTTAGTAGAGACAAGGTTTCACCATGTTGGCCAGGCTGGTCTCAAACCCCTGACCTCAGTTGATCCACCTACCTTGGCCTCCCAAAGTGCTGGGATTATAGGCGAGAGCCACCATGCCCAGCCTCCTAGATTGAGTTATGCAGATTCAGCTATCTAGACTGGATTTTCAGCTCCAGAATCGGATTTTGAGCTCTTTGCATGCTGCTGTTAGAAGGCAGCAGTGAATTTTAATTGTATGGCCTGAGGCGTGAAGGATAAACCATAAGTGTATATGACTGAGGCTCACAGAGTTAGAGAAGGTTACAGTCTCCGAGCTGGTGGTTCCTCACAGCTCTTTAGGAACTACAAGTTTGAGATTGAGTGGGGTCATGAGCTTGTGGGGCCCTGGATGCTCTACCTTATGCATCCAGGCAGGCATTCATCCAAAGAAAGGGTGCCAGAACCAGGAGGAGTTCGAAAACCACTAAGCGGCCGGGTGCGGTGGCTCACGCCTGTAATCCCAGCACTTTGGGAGGCCGAGGCTGGTGGATCACTTGAAGCCAGGAGTTTGAGACCAGCCTGGTCAACATGGCAAAACGCCGTCTCTACTAAAAATACAAAAATTAGCCAGGTTGGTGGTGTGAGCCTGTAATTCCAGCTACTCAGGAGGCTGAGGCAGGAGAATTGCTTGAACCCGGGAGGCGGAGGTTGCAGTGAGCCGAGATGGCGCCACGGGCACTCCAGCCTGGGCGACAAAGTGAGACTGTCTTAAAAAAAAAAAAAAGAAAAAAGAAAACCACAGAGCCCAGCTAATCCTCTCATTTTCCACATGGGGAAGTTGAATCCCAGGATAATGAAGAAAATCACCCAAGGCCATGTAGTAACCTGGCAACTCCTATTTTCTGGGTGACCCTCTGTGCAGACTAACTGTAACTTCTCTATCCCTTCTTTAAAACTAAAAAAGTATAGTTCTCTATAACTTTCGATATGTACTGCTAAATTATGTGTCACATTAAATAGTCACTGGAGAGGATAATAATAGAATTATTTTATTTATTTATTTATTTTTAATTTTTTTTATTTTATTTTTGAGTTGGAGTCTCCTCTGCTGTCCAGGCTGGAGTGCAGTGGCGCGATCTCGGCTCACTGCAAGCTCCGCCTCCCGGGTTCACGCCATTCTCCTGCCTCAGCCTCCCGAGTAGCTGGGACTACAGGCGCCCGCCACCACGCCCGGCTAATTTTTTATATTTTTAGTAGAGACGGGGTTTCACCGTGTTAGCCAGGTTGGTCTCGATCGCCTGACCTTGTGATCCGCCCGCCTCAGCCTCCCAAAGTGCTGGGATTACAGGCGTGAGCCACCGCGCCCGGCCCAGAATTATTTTTAAAAGCTCAAGAATGTTATTTGCCACCTGTGACATCTCTCGTTGTTCCTCACTCTTAAGTTTCAAGGGCACGTGCTATGGGGGAAGAGGCTTATTTACTTCTGTGTACTTTGCCTGCAGTCACAGTTTTAAAAAGAAATCCCAACTGAGTTGAAAAACTGGCCATGTTACTGTCTCAAGCCACACCTCCGGGGCACTTATCTGCCGAGTCCAGGTGCACAGCAGTGTGACCTCATGTTCTGGCCTGATAGCTCCTCTCAAGGGCTTCTTCAAGTAAGCATTCATCTGACTTTTTACTCAGCTATGTCTTCTTAAAATACAAGGAAACAACTTGATTACAATAGTCAATCCCAAAGACCGTAGGCCATAAGACCCCCATTTCAAACAGACACCGTCACTAGTTTCATTCATTGTTATGTATTTATGAGATAAAGGCTATACACAAGGGAAGACCAAAAGATGGCTGGTTTTTCCATTTGTTGTGCACTTACATTTCAGGCACTGTGCTATGCATTTCACACACGTTGTTCTTTTGATTCTCACAGCCACACCCAAGAAGTAAATCCTATTATGATCTCCTTGTTACTCATGAGGAAACAGTTTTAGAGAGGCTCGTTTCATATTAATGTTACCCACAGACTGGTGGAAATCTGAGACTCAAACCTGGGTCAGGTTGACTGCAAAGGCAGACCTTTAAAGAAATGCAGACATCTAGGTATGATTACATACTATGCATTAAGAATTAAGCTTTAGGCCAGGCACGATGTCTCACGCCTGTAATCCCAGCACTTTGGGAGGCCAAAGTGGGCGGATCACCTGAGGTCAGGAGTTCGAGACCAGCCTGGCCAACACAGTGAAACCCCGTCTCTACTAAAAATACAAAAATTAGCTGGGCATGGTGGTACACGCCTGTAGTCTCAGCTACTCGGGAGGCTGAGACAGGAGAATTGCTTGAACCCGGGAGACAGAGGTTGCAGTGAGCCGAGACTGTGCCACTGCACTCCAGCCTGGGTAACAGAGTAAGACTCCGTCTCCAAAAAAAAAAAAAAAAAGCTTTAAATATGCAGTTACTTCTTTAAGTCTGAGCTAGCATCTTTCTACTAAGTCAGTATCTTCAAGCCGATATTGGTACCCTGTCAGGGTGACTGTGACTCCTGGTCCACTGGACCAGCATTGTGTCCACTCTTCACTGTGCTCTCCTTTCCATTTCTCCCATCTTCCTGTTGTGGAAGAAGCTTGAACTACTTGTGCACTAATTGGAGAGAAGGTGTTGGGGCTCAGAAAGCAGTACCCCAAAATGAAGGTCTCTGCAGCAGCCTCAGAAGCAAAAGTTTTCCTTTGACCTTTGTCTGCCCTCTTGTCTGAGTCTCATTCTCCACCCAAGGCCAGCCATAGAAGCTAGAATCCCTCTTCCCCAAGGTGGGTCATAGAAACCAGAACCCCCTTTCTCCAAACCAGCCATAGAACCTAAAAATATTACTCTAATTTTCCCTCTGCCTTTCTGGGTAAAACTTGGCCATAAAGAAATTATCTGGCTGGGTGCAGTGGCTCACCCTTGTGATCCCAGCACTTTGGGAAGCCGAGACGGGAGGTTCGCTTGAAGCCAGGAGTTCGAGACCAGCCTGGCCAACATAGCAAGACCTCGCCTCTACAAATAAAATAAATTAACTGGGCATGGTAGCATGCACCTACAGTCCCAGGTACTTAGGAGGCTGAGGTGGGAGGATTGCTTGAGCGCAGGAGGTTGGGGCTACAGTAAGCTACAGTCGTGCCACTGCACTTTAACCTGAGTGACAGAATGAGACCTCATCTCTTTTAAATTAAAAAAAAAAAGAAAAGAAAAATTATCTGACCTACTTTGTTTGACTGTAGGTGATAAGACCCCCATTTCAGAGAAGGTCCTGTCCCATGCCCTGAAGGAAGGAGCGCTGCTCAGAGAGGCCAAGAAGAATCTAGACAGACAGGCCTTGCTGGGCTCCCCACTGAATCTATTAACATTAGATCTTACCTTTTTTGTTCAATCATATTTCTACACTTTGATTCCCCTTTCCCAGTGCCTCCCATCTGCCCCAGTGAATATGGGCAGGGAAGGGGAATCTCTGCCCCAGGAAGACAAAAAGGCTTCTCAAGCCAGATCATTTGATCATTTGTTGAATTGGCAGGATCCTCTCATGTGTGCCTCCTGACCACACTGCTATTTCTGCTGTTGTAGAAATATGAAGGTCTTATTTCTACAACAAAGTCCATAGTTTATTGAACCTAAGCATAAAAATGGACAATTTCCCCTGTATCTTTGGGTTTGCATTCTGAAGGCTTCAGTGCATACACATTAAATAAATTTGTATGCCTTTCTCCCATCAATCAATCTGCCTCATGTCAGTGATTTTCAACAAACCTCCAGGGGGCCAAGGGCCTTGGTCCCCACAAAGGCATTGCCTTCTCAGTTAAATTTCTCACACCAGGTAGGATCCAACTTCTTATGTGAAAACCCAGGGAAGAAAACAAGTCAGGAATTTTAACTCCCTTTGCTGGAATCAATGAAGCCCTTGATCACTTTTTCTACCCAGAAGAAATTTTCTCATCTGGTGCCAGAACTCTTCTTATTCTTGGCTCTTTGCCCTTGAAGTTGCTGTTTGTCTGCTGAGTGGCTGCCCTTGGCCAACCTTTTAGCTCCCTGGAGTTTTTGATAGTTGGCTTTTGGTAACATGCTTGAAGTTACAAAAACCCAGCTTATTAGAACATAACTTTTAAGGATAAAGGCTTTTATGTTAATTCCTGGGTCCCCCATGTTTGACTGACCAGGTTCATGTTTTGCCCACTGCCTGGCCTAATCACACAATGCCTGCAGCTTCTGCCTGCTACGCCTAGACCCTGGTGTGAGTAGGGAATAAGGGTCAGTCAGTTCCTGGCACATGGTAGGTGCTCAGTAAAGGCTGGTGAATGAATAAATGAAAAACACATATAAGTGAAACTTGATAAGGTTTAAAAATGGAGATCAAGTATTTATCACGGTGCCCTGCTCATCCATTTGTAAAATTATCATAAAATTTAAAGCTCTGTGTGATCTGTGTAGGATAATATAACATTTCTAAGTTAAAAGCATATATTATTACATAAGCCCTGCAGATTTGTTTAACTCTTGACTAGAAAGTCAACTAGTCTCTCTCAAAAGCCCCTGGCTTTTTTTCCTTGAAAAGAAAACAAGTAGAGAAATGAACAGCTGTAAGGAGATATAGTGCTACTGAGAATAGAATGTTATTCCTACATTTCCCCATCATGAAGAAAGCATGTTCCTAGTGGAGTTGTTTCTTTTTTAGCAAATATTTCTGTAATAACCATGTATGCAATTATGGCTTTAAGGATACCCCTAAATTGCTTTCAAAGCTATTTTCTTAAGAAAACTGTATTCCATATTTTAAGTATGTGAGGTTTTTTTCCTTCTTAAAAATAATACAATTGAGGGGCAAATTTAAATAAATTGTAAAAAACAAAAAAACAGAGGTGTACCCCCATTTCTTCCTAGTATATTCAGTAGTTGTTGTTTTGTCCAGAATTTTCTTTTACAAATTGGAAAATATTAGGGATTGTAAAATGCAGTATAAATAAGATGAGGAAGTGACCCTCAGACTAACACCATTTTAGAAGTTGAGTTTGAGGAAAAATGGTTAAAATAATATTGCATGTTTTCAGCCAATAATACCCAGAGAGCTGCTGCTCTGAGCCTAGGCCTGGAGGTGGTGCCTGGCGAGTTCTTGCTATCAGACAGTGTTTGAGTCTACTGCCCTCTGGTGGCTACTTGTTACACTTTCCTGAGCCTTACTGAGAAAAAGAATTTAAACGTACCAGATGTGTGTTAAACCTTTCTCATTTGTTCTTTGCAGAGTTCTGTGCCTACTCGAGGTAGAATTAAAAGTTCTCAGAGATTATTTTACTCAACTGAAATCCAAGGAGGTAATTTCTCTTAAGGTCACCACTGTTAGTTATATTCACTGCACATGAATTATATAATTTGAAATCTTTTTTCATTTATCCAGCTGGGTTGATTTCAGGCTAGAATACACACATGAATAGTGATGTCTAATTTTTTTTGCTGGGCTCAGTGGCTCATGCCTGTAATCCCAGCACTTTGGGAGGCTGAGGCAGGTGGATCACTTGAGATCAGGAGATCGAGACCAGATTGGCCACCATGGTAAAAACCCTGTCTCTACTAAAAATACAAAAAATTATCTGGGCATAGTGGCACGCACCTGTAATCCCAGCTACTTGGGAGGCTGAGGCATGAGATTCACTTGAACCCAGAAGGTTGCAGTGAGCTGAGATCGAGCCACTGCACTCCAGCCTGGGAGACAGAGAGAGTGAGACTGTCTCAAAAACAAAAAAACAAAAAAGAAGAAAAGAAAAAGTGATGTCTGATTTTTCTTTATACGTTTGCCAATAAAAGTTGTGCTTTTTTTTTTTTTTTTGGCAAAGATAAGACCAAAGGATTTAAATTTTACTTTTTTGATGAAATTATAGTACCATTAAAGGGTAATTGGCCAGGTGCAGTGGCTCACACCTGTAATCCCAACACTTTGGGAGGCCAAGGTGGGCAGATCACCTAAGGTCAAGAGTTTGAGACCAGCCTGGCCAACATGGTGAAACCCTGTCTCTACTAAAGATACAAAAATTAGCTGGGCGTGGTGGTGGGCACCTGTAATCCCAGCTACTAGGGAGGCTGAGGCAGGAGAATCACTTGAACCCAGGAGGCAGAGGTTGCAGTGAGCTGAGATTGTGCCATTGCACTCCAGCCTGGGTGACAAGAGCAAAACTTGATCTAAAAAAAAAAAAAAAAAAGTAATCACAAAATTGAGAAAAAAAAAACTTTTGGAACTTGTAATCTAATAAGATGGCATGAAACTATTTCTCCTTGTTCTTCCCTGCTAAGCAACTATGAACCCTGGAAATGCAAGAGGCAACCAAAGGAGAACTTGGAGATTTAGTAAGAAGGTGAATTAGTTTGGGGCCCCAGGACTGGAGGAACAATATGGTGTCCGAGTGTCTTCTGTCCTCCTACCCAACTGAAGAAGGTGACCCAGACCCAGTGCATCCTAACCTGCAACCTAGCAACAAGAAGGTGGCCCGGGACCTTCTCCCCAGGACTGACAGATTATCTATCCAACATGACCAGGAAAGCCCAGCCCCCGGGAAGGGGAGATTAATAGGAGGCCACTAAGTAGCCAGAGGAAGTGCTCACCTTCAGAGGGCCTGGGACTTCCTTCCCCTGCTGAGTGAGAGCTCTGTGGCAAGCATGCACATGTGGGAGGATTCTGCCAGTTCAACAAATGATCTGGCCTGGGAAGCCTCTTTGTTCCCCTGGGCCAGAGCCTCCCTCCCCTGCCTACATTCACTGGGGAGCTGGGGGGCACTGGCAGAGGGGATCCCACTACCTCAGACAGCCCAACCCAGGGACCTTCTTCCTCCCAGGGAGCCTGAAACTTCCTTCCTCCCCTAGAGATTCCCATACTCTGAGCATGAGGCCTGGGAAAACATCTTCCATTCCTTCAGGCAGCACTAGCAGGAGCCTGTGGAAACTCAGCAGTTCCAGATAAACCAAACAGATCAAAAACAGCAAAAGCACTGAAAATTAAACTTTCATTGAAACCACAATCACAAAAGTAGGCCAGGACCTGCATGCTAACATAAAGGATTTCTTTTTTTTTTTTTTTTTTTGAGTTGGAGTCTCACTGTTTCACCGAGGCTGGAGTGCAATGGTGCGATCTCGGCTCACTGCAAACTCCGCCCCCTGGGTTCAAGCTATTCTCCCGCCTCAGCCTCCTGAGAAGCTGGGATTACAGGCACCTGCCTCCATGCCCGGCTATTTTTTTGTATTTTTAGTAGAGACGGGGTTTCACCGTGTTGGCCAGGCTGGTCTTGAACTCCTGACCTCAGGTGATCCACCCACCTTGGCCTCCCAAAGTGCTGGGATTACAGGTGTGAGCCACCACGCCTGGCCAAAATAAAAGATTTCAGTAGGACCAAAATTCTCTAAATGTAATAGACAAAATGTTTAGATACAACTAAAGATCACTTGTCATACCAAGAACCAAAAAATTACGACTTGAATGAAAAAAGACAGTCATGGCTGAGCGCGGTGGCTCACGCCTGTACTCCCAGCACTTTGGGAGGCTGAGGCAGGTGGATCACTTGAGGCCAGGAGTTTGAGACCACGTTGGATGATATAGTAAGACCCTGTCTCTACAAAAAATAAAAAAATTTGCCAGGCAGGGTGGCACGCACTTTTAGTCCTAGCTACTTGGGAGGCTGAGGCAAGAGGATCGCCTGATCCCAGGAGTTCAAAGCTGCAGTGGGCTGTGATTGTGCCACTATATGCCATCTTGAGCAACAGAGAAATACCTTATTTGACAAGGATTTTAAAGCAGCCATTATAAAAATGCCTGAACAATCAATTATAAGTTCTCTTGAAATAATGAAAAAACAGAAAATCTTAGCAAATAAATAAAAGTTATAAAAAGAAGCAAGTCAGTTGGGCACAGTGGCTTCCACCTGTAATCCTAGCACTCTGGGAGGCTGAGGCAGTAGATGGCTTGAGCCCAGGAGTTCAAGACCAGTCTGGGTAACATGGCGAAACCTCGTCTCTACAAAAAATACAAAAATTAGCTGGGTGTGATGGGGCACTCATGTAGTCCCAGCTACTTCGGGAACTGAGCTGGGAGGATCGCTATTGTCCTGGAGGTCGAGGCTGCAGTGAGCCATAATTGCACCACTGCACTCCAGCGTGGACCACAAAGCAAGACCCTGTCTCAAAAAAAAAAAAAAAAAAAAAAGGAAATGATATAAATGATAGAACTGAAAAATATAGCCAAACATTGATAAATTGGACCTCATAAAAATTAAAAACCTTTGCTTTGTGAAAGCCCATGTGAAGAGAATGAAAAGACAGGCCACAGACTGGGAGAAAATATTTGCAAATCCCATACCTGACAAAGAACTAGTTTCTACAATATGTAAAGAACTCTCAAAACTCGACTCTCAAAAAAAAATGCAGTTCACTTTTACAGGTCAATACACAATTCAGTTTCTCCACATCCTTGCCAACAACACTTGTTATTTTCTGCTTTTTTGATAGTGACCATCCTAATGGGTGTGAGGTGATATCTCACTCTGGTTTTGACTTGCACTTTTCTGATGATTGGTAACGTTGAACATATTTTCCACATGTTTATTGGCCATTTGCATACCATCTTTGAAGAAACATCTATTGAAATCCTTTGCCTATTTTTAAAATTGGGTTGATTTTTTTTGTTATTGAGTTGTAGGAGTTCTTTATGTATTCTAGATACTAACTTCTTATCAGATATGTGATTTGCAAATATTTTCTTCCTTTTTATAGATGGCCTTTTCACTCTGTTGATTATGTCCTTTGATGTGCAAAAGTTTTTGAGTTTGTCCATTTTTGCTTTTGTTTCCTGTACTTTCGGTGTCATGTCTAAGAAATCATTGCCAAGTCTAATGTCATGAAGCTTTTCCTCTGTGCTTTCTTCTAGGAGTTTTATAGTTTTAGGGCTTATGTTTAGGTCTTTAATCCATTTTTGAATTAATTTTTGTATATTGTGTAAGATAAGGTTTTGAGTTTGTTCTTTTTATCTTTTTGTTTGTTTGTTTGTTTTTGTTTTTTTGAGACAGAGTCTCACTGTATCCCTCAGGCTGAAGTACAGTGGCATGATCTCGGCTTACTGCAACCTCTGCTTCCTGGGTTCAAGCGATTCTCATGCCTCAGTCCCCCAAATAGCTGGGATTACACGTGTGTGCCACCACGCCTGGCTAATTTTTGAATTTTTAGTAGAGACAGAGTTTCACCATGTTGGCCAGGCTGGTCTCGAACTCCTGACCTCAGGTGATCTGCCGTTTTCTTTTTTTTAAAAAAAAAAAAGAAAAAGAGTCTTGGTCTGTTGCCCAGGCTGGAGTCCAGTGGCATGATCCCGGCTCACTGTAGCCTCTGGCTCCTGGGTTCAAGAGATTCATGTGCCTCAGCCTCCCGAGTAGCTGGGATTACAGGCGTGCGCCAATATGCCTGGCTGATTTTTTGTATTTTTAGTAGAGACGGGGTTTCATCATGTTGGCCAGGCTGGTCTCGAACTCCCGATGTCAAGTGATCTGCCCACCTCGGCCTCCCAAACTGCTGAGATCACAGGCATGAGCCACCACGCCTGGCCTCGACTTTGTTCTTTTGCATGTGGATATGCTGTTTTCCCCTCACCATTTGTTGGAGAGACCTTCTTTTCCCTATTGAGTAGTCTTGGCACCCTTGTCAAAGATCATTTGAGCATATACGTAAGGGTTTATTTCTGGGTCTTTGTCCTGTTCCATTGGTCCGTATGTCTGTCTTTATGACAGTGCCACACTGTTTTGATTACTGTAGCTATGTTTTGAATCAGGAAGTGTGGGTCCTCCAACTTTTTTTTTCCTCGGAATTGTTTTTGCTATTTGGAGGTCTGTATGTATTCTTTTTTGATGTACCTATAAATATATTTTAGTGTGGATAAATATGTGCATGTAAATTTATGTATTTTAGTGCATTTGTTTATGTAGAGATTTTAACAACAAAAAACCTGTAACAAAAACATGCTGTTCTGCAACTTGCCTTTTAAAATTCCACATTAGGCCAGGCACAGTGGCTCACGTTGTGGGTTTTTTTTGATGTATAGAGATTTTAGATTCCTATATAGTCAAGCTTATCAATCAATGCTTCTGCTTTAGCATAAAATTAGGAAAACCATTCTTGCTTTCCAAGATTATATAAATAGGCACCTCCATTTCTTAGTATTTTTAAAAGTTTAATTTTCAACTTTGAAGTCTTTATTTTAGGGTAAAGTATGAAACAAGATGATAGCTCTATTGTTTTCCAAATGGAAGCCAGTTGTCTCAATGTTATTTATTTAATCATTGTATTCCTTTCTCTCTGGTATTTTTTTTCTTTCACTTTTGTTGCCCAGGCTGGAGTGCAGTGACACGATCTCGGCTCACTTCAACCTTCGTCCCTGGTTCAAGTGATTCTCCTGCCTCATCCTCCTGAGTAGATGGGATTATAAGCACATGCCACCGTGCCTGGCTAATTTTTTTGTATTTTCAGTAGAGACAGGGTTTCACCATGTTGGCCAGGCTGGTCTTGAACTCCTGACTTCAGGTGATCTGCCCACATCAGCCTCCCAAAGTGCTGGGATTACAGGCCTGAGCCACCACGCCAGGCCCCTTTCTCTCTGGTTTTAGATGTTCCCCTCACTTAAAAAAAAAAATCACGTTCTACATTTTCTGATTGTTTGTTTGTTTTGGAGCCTGACTGGTCTGAGTTTTCACCTTGATTCTATAGCTAGCTAAACATGCTAGCTTTCTGACCTTGAGCAAGTGACTGCACTTCACTCTTTCTTAGTTTCCTCATCTATAAGATGAGGACAATAACACTATCTGCTTCATAGGTTGTCATGAGGATTGAGTGAGACACCTGGAGCTGAGTAGACTTAGCAAAGGCTAGCTGTCATTACCACCACTGCTGTTACAACTAGTGCTGCTACTGGGGTTGGTTTCTGGATTCACTTCTTTCTTGAGTTCCTTTCAGGAGTCTAAGACTTCCACTTCTTTATGTTGCTCAGTACGAGGCAAAAAAGTGACTTTTCCTGGGACAGGCCCCTTACAGAGAAGTTATTCGGATTAACACTGACCAAAAGTATCTATAGAATTACTTCTTAGCATTTGCTATGAAAATATATATTTTCTGCTAACTTTGGATATAATTTTAGGCAAATTATTGCATCCTGTTCTTATATAATCTCTTCATTGTGAGTGTCATGTATATTTGTCAACAGATGCCTTCTTATTTGCAAAGTGCTTTGATTTGTATTTGAAAGGTGTTCCTATGTTGTATTCTACAAATAGTCTTATGGTGAAGGATCCCTGTTAATCTGGGGTGTCTTTAAGCAAAGCCATGTTTGTGAGACTGTATTAGATACTATGTTTATTAGACGTCTAATCAGTGAAATGAATGAGACCATTTTTAAAATTGTTTTCTCTGTACCGTGCTACAGATTGAGGGTGATATAAATCAGTGAGAACACAGGATTCCTGTGCTCATGGAGTTGATCGTCTAGTTGGGAAAATAAGATATGTAAACTTATTTGTTTACATATGTAAACAAAGTGATGGCCGAGCTTGGTGGCTCACACCTGTAATCCCAGCACTTTGGGAGACCAAGGTGGGCAGATCATCTGAGGTCAGGAGTTCGGGACCAGCCTGGCCAACATGGTGAAACTCTGTCTCTACTAAAAATTCAAAAATTAGCCAGGCGTGGTGGCACACACCTGTAATCCCAGCTACTCGGGGGGCTGAGGCACAAGAATCACTTGAACCCAGGAAGCAGAGGTTGCAGTAAGCCGAGATCACACCACTGTACTTCAGCCTGAGGGATAGAGTGAGACTCTGTCTCAAAAAAAACAAAAACAAAACAAAACAAAAAACACACACACACACGCAAAACCAAAGTGATAAAATCAGGCTGTATAGGCTGGGCATGGTGGCTAATCCCTGTAATCCCAGCATTTTGGGAAGCCAAGGTGGGCAGATCACTTGAAGTCAGGAGTTCAAGACTAGCCTGGCCAATATGGCAAAACCCCCCTCTGTACTAAAAATACAAAAAATTAGCTGGATGTGGTGGCACGTGCCTGTAATCCCAGCTACTTGGGAGGCTGAGGCAGGAGAATTGCTTGAACCCGGGAGGCAGAGGTTGCAGTGAGCTGAGATCATGCCACTGCACTCCAGCCTGGGTGACAGAGCAAGACTCTGGTCTCGCAAAAAAAAAAAAAAAAAAAAAAATCAGGCTGTGTAAGTTTCATAACTACACAGAACAAATAGAAATGAACAAACTCATTACAAAAAATATCATCTATTGGCCGGGTGTGGTGGCTCATGCCTGTAATCCCAGCACTTTGGGAGGCCGAGGCAGGTGGATCACGAGGTCAGGAGATCGAGACCATCCTGGCTAACACGGTGAAACCCCGTCTCTACTAAAAATACAAAAAAAAAATTAGCCGGGTTTGGTGGCGGGCACCTGTAGTCCCAGCTACTCGGGAGGCTGAGGCAGGAGAATGGCATGAACCCAGAACCCGGGAGGCAGAGCTTGCAGTGAGCCGAGATCGCACCACTGCACTCCAGCCTGGGCAACAGAGCGAGACTCTGTCTCAAAAAAAAAAAAGAAAGAAAGAAAATATCATCTATTCCGGAACAGTAGATATCTACTTATTTCTCCACATCAGAATTCTCTATGTAAAGATTAGCTGTTGAAGCTATTACATTCTGGGTGGTGCTAGAAATCATTACTTAAGGAATAGAAATTAGAATGTTGTTATACATTTACCAAAGCAAAAGAGCAATAATCCAAATTTTAATCAGATCTTAGAGGAAACATTTTTATAGCTGTTTATTACAAGACCTCAGAGTTTTCTTACTGTGAGCACTCTCAAAATTATCTAAAGTATTTTTTTAATTGAACTATTGGTCATAGTTATTAATGTTATTAATATATTACTATAAAAAGGCATAGAAAAATCATAATAAGAAACAGATAATTGCTAAACTATGATTTGAGTTGCCCCTCTAGAGTTTTTTCTTTTGTGGTCTATGTGAAAGGCACCCTATGGTTTTCCATTGCTTTATCTCTTTTTTAAAACCCATAGCGAATTCCCTAAATTTGAATTTGAAACATTTTCAGCGTGAGTTAGAAAGGGGGGAGATGAGGCCGGGCGCAGTGGCTCATGCCTGTAATTCCAGCTCTTTGGGAGGCTAAGGCGGGTGGATCACTTGAGTCTAGGAGTTTGAGACCAGCCTGGGCAACATGGAGAAACCCCATCTCTACAAAAAAATACAAAAAATTAGCCAGGCAGAGTGGCATGCGCATATAGTGCCAGCTACTCTAGAGGCTGAGGTGGAAGGATTGCTTGAGCCCAAGAGGCGGAGGTTGCAGTGAGCCATAATTGCACCACTGCACTCCAGCCTGGACAACAGGACAAGACCCTGTCTCAGAAAAAAAAAAAAAAAAAGGTGGAGAGGTGAGTTAAAGGATAATTGGCTGCAGTTTTACAGTCTACAGTTTTAGACTGTAAATCGGCATATCACTTTTCAAATATTAACTCAACCTTCAACAGGCATGAGAAGCTGAAGTTGTTTCTAACTAGCCAGGAAAATGAGAAGTATTATTGCATATCTCTCAGCATATTAGGAAGAATTGGAAGAAAAACAGACCCAGAGCTCTGGATTCTATCTTTTGCTCCAAAGTAATGATAGGAAGCTTTATTCATCTAACAATGGATGCTGTGATTTTAAAAATTTAAAACTACTCTTCTTGATGAAATAAGGAAAAACAAAAGGGGGAAGGAAAGGAATTAGGAAAGGAAAGAGGGAGAGGGGAGCAAGGGAGTGATTAGTATGCTTACATTTTATACTCTTGTGAGGATTAAGAATAATGTGTGTGGGCTGGGCACAGTGGCTCATGCCTGTAATCCCAACACTTTGGGAGCCTGAGTTAGGAGGATGGCTTGAGCTCTGGAGTTCAAGATCAGCCTGGGCAACATAGTGAGACCCCATCTCTACAAAATATAAACAAAATAAGCTGGGCATGGTGACGAGTGCCTGTAGTCCCAGCTACTCAAGAGGCAGAGGTGGGAGGATTGCTTGAGTCCTGGAGGTCAAGGCTGCAAGTGAGCTATGAACATACCACTGCACTCCAGTCTGAGTGACAGAGCTAGACTCCATCTCAAAAAAGAAGAAGAAGAATATGTGTGAAGTCCCATATAGTCCCAGTCCCAGCACACTGTCCCTACTTACTTACTAGACACAGTATTATAGTATCTGTGACAGTGATGGGCATGTAAAATTGTATGTTTAGTCAAATCATATTTGACTGGAGACATGTCTAACTTGTTTAATAAGTCACATTTATAATGCCTTTGCTACTCATGAACATCCAGTCACTTGATTTCACTGATACCTGCAGTCCTAGGCTTGCCAGTGTCCCAGGCCTCTTTGTTCACTATTTCCTGGGCTACTGCTTAGGCTCTATGCCTATTATACATGTAGATATGACCCTCTGTTCTCTGTCATCAACAGCAGTTGAATCAGAGGCCTTGTTTTGGTTATCTCTTGCTGCCTAACTACCCCAAAATTTAGTGGTGTGGAACAACAACCATTATGTTCTCTCTCACAATTTTGTGGGTTGATGTGCTTCAGCTGAGTGGTTCTTATGGTCCATGTGATATTGGCTGGGGCTGCAGTCACTTGGGGGCTTGAATGGTCTGGAATGTTCAAGGCTGCTCATTCACATGGCTGATAGTTGATGCTAGTCATCAGCTGGGAGCCCAGCTGGGCTGTCAGCTGAAGTGGCCACCTGTGGTCTCTCCATGCCCATGTGGCTCAGGCTTCTGACAACATGGTGGCTGAGTTCTGAGAGGGGAAATCGCAAGAGTGAGCCTTCCAAGAGAAGAAAAGTAGAAACTCTCAGTTCTCTTTTTTTTTTTTTGAGACGAAGTCTTTCTGTCACCCAGGCTAGAGTGCAGTGGCGTGATCTCGGCTCACTGCCAGCTCCGCCTCCCGGGTTCACACCATTGTCCTGCCTCAGCCTCCTGAGTAGATGGGACTACAGGCGCCTGCCACCATGTCTGGCTAATTTTTTGTATTTTTAGTAGAGACAGGGTTTCACCGTGTTAGCCAGGATGGTCTCAATCTCCTGACCTTGTGATCCGCCCGCCTCGGCCTCCCAAAGTGCTGGGATTACAGGCGTAAGCCACTGCGCCTGGCCTAACATTTTAGTTTTCTTTTTTTTTTTTTTTTTTGAGACGGAGTCTTACTCTGTCGCCCAGGCTGGAGTGCAGTGGCGAGAGCTCGGCTCACTGCAAGCTCCGCCTCCCAGGTTCACGCCATTCTCCTGGCTCAACCTCCAGAGTAGCTGGGACTACAGGCACCCACCACCGTGCCCGGCTAATTTTTTTGTATTTTTAATAGAGATGGGGTTTCACCGGGTTAGCCAGGATGGTCTCGATCTCCTGACCTCGTGATCCGCCCACCTCAGCCTCCCTCAGTTCTCTTAAAAACTAGCCTCAGCCAGTTGTGGGGGCTCATGCCTGTAATCCCCATACTTTGGAAGGCCAAGGTGGGTGGATCACTTGAGCCCAGGAGTTTGAGACCATTTGTGAGTCTCTACATGGCAACATGGCAAAACCCCGTCTCTACAAAAAAATACAAATACAAAAATTAGCCAGGCATGGTGGCGTTCACTTGTAGTCCTAGCTACTCAGGAGGCTGAGGTGGGAGGATCACCTGAGCCTGGGAGGCGGAGGTTGCAGTGAGTCGTGATTGCACCACTGCACTCTAGCCTGGATGACTGAGCGAGACTCTGTCTCAGAAAAAAAAAAAAATTAAAGGCTAGCCTCACTTCTGTTGCATTCCCTCCCCTCCCCTCCCCTATTCTCTCTCTCTCGCTCTCTCTCTTTCTTGCTTTCTTTCTCTCTTTCTTTTTGAGCCAGGGTCTCACTTTGTCCCTGAGGCTGTAGTGCATTGGCACCATCTTGGCTCACTGCGGCCTCAACTTCCCGGGTTCAAACAATCCTCCTATCTTGGCCCCCCAAGTAGCTGAGACTACAGACATGCACCACCATGCCTGGCTAATTTTTTTTTTTTTTTTTTTTTTTTTTGGAGAGACAGGGTTTTGCCATGTTGCCCAGGCTGGTCTCAAAACTCCTGAGCTCAAGCAATTTGCTCACCTTGGCCTCCCAAAGTGCTGGGATTACAGGTGTGAGCCACCGCGCCCAGCCTTCTGTTATCACAGGCCAGCTCAAATTCAAAGAGTGAAGGAATTGACTCAGCTCTTGATGAGAGATTGGCATGTGCATATAGGGAATGGCCTTCTTACTATAGGGTCAGTACCATATTCCTTTCAAATTGCCTTCATGAAGTGTAAGTCTTTTTAAAAGGATACTTACAAACTCAAGATTCATACCCTAGAAGTAATTCTGGAAAAGGTGGTAAGATATCATTGACCTAAACATGAGAACCTGGAATGATTTGTCTTGGACCCAGTTGTATGGCATTGGAACCATACTTGTGTCAGTACATAAACATGAAAGAGCTAATCTCTTTTGAATGGAAAATGTGGCCCAATTCTGTAAGAAAGGGTTTAAGGCCATACGTGATTATTGCTAGAGCAGTGGTTCTCAAAGTGATTTTGTCCTTCAGGGGGTATTTGGCAATGTCTGGAGACATTTTTGGTTGTTGCAACTGGGTAGGGGGCAGTGCTACTGGCATGTAGTGCATAAAGGCCAGAGATGAAGCTAAGCATGATACAATGCACAGTGCAGCCCTCTCCCACAACAAAGAATTGCAGCCCAAACATGTCAATAGTTTCAAGGCTGCCTGAGCTACAGCAAAGATTCTTCCCACACTGTCTTGGAAGTTCATACAAAGTACATTGCTTTTTATACTCCAAGACATCATTTGTGCCTTTTTTCCTATAAAAAACTTTTCTATCTGTATATTTCCAAATTCAAATTGTGAGATTTCTTTAAAGGCTCTTTACAACTTCTATTTATTTTTTGTATTTAAATAATTTATAGGGCCGGGCGTGGTGGCTCACGCCTGTACTCCCAGCACTTTGGGAGGCCAAGGTGGGTGGATCACTTGAGGTAAGGAGGTCGAGACCAGCCTGGCCAACATGATGAAACCCTCTACTAGAAATACAAAAATTAGCTGGGCACGGTGGCAGACACCTGTAATCCCAACTATTCAGGAGGCTGAGAAAGGAGAATTGCTTGAACCTGGGGCGGAGGTTGCAGTGAGCCAAGATTGTGCCACTGCACCCCAGCCTGGGCAACAGACCGAGACTGTCTCAAAAAAAAAAAAAAAAAGAATTTATGTACAGAGGTTGGATCAAGGTGACTTGTAGGGCACACCAGTTCCATCCCTTTTCTTCTACCTCAAACTCTAAGAGATGACAAGAAAAAAATTACATCTATGTATAAATCCATCTTTATCTGTATCTATACCTGTGTGTGTGTGTGTGCGTATGTCTATATCTCCTGAAAAGGAAGAAGAGGTGATGACTATGGATCAGAAATTTTGAGCATCATTGAAAGGCTGTGCATCAGGAAAGGCTAAATTATGCTGTGGTAACAACTCCCAAATTGAAGTTGTTTAAAAAACTATAGACTATTTCTCATTCATGCTCATTTGGACTGTCAGAGGGCTAGTTGTTTAGGGACCTAACAGCCACCATCTTTTTTTTTTTTTTTTTCTTTTTGAGACAGAGTTTCTCTCTTATCACCCAGGCTGGAGTGCAGTGGTGCGATCTTGGCTCACTGCAACCTCCATCTCCCAGGTTCAAGCCATTCTCCTGCCTCAGCCTCCCAAGTAGCTGGGATTACAGGCGTGTGCCACCAGGCCAGCTAATTTTGTATTTTTAGTAGAGACGGGGTTTCACCATGTTGGTCAGACTAGTCTCAAACTCCTTACCTCAAGCGATCCACCCACTTCCGCCTCCCAAAGTGCTGCGATTATAGGCATGAGCCACCATGCCTGGCCCAGCCACCATCTTGAATGTTGCTATTGCCTTACAGAGGCAAAAAGAGAACTCCGAAGGGCTTCTCATTGGCAGTTGAATGCTCTGCCCTGGAAGTGAACGAGAATCAAGTATCCTACTCACAGTTCATTGCTCAGGACTACTTACGTGGCCCCAGGACGTGCAGTCCTGTCAGTGGCCTGGAGAGGGGAGAATGGAAAATGTTTGACATATGGCTTGATTAACTCCTTCAAAGGCCAGGACAGATGGGCTCTACTGGAAGGAAGAAGCCACAGCTCAAGTGTGCACAGGGCAGGGCTCCTCTGGAAGATGGGAGTGGCTCCTGAAGATATAGCAGGGAGGAGAGGACCCTGTACAAAAGACAGAGTAATTTATTAGAGTACTCTCACAGGAATAACCTGGGAGATTGATTCCCCCGCCCCCCGTATCCCATAGATGGGAAAATTAGGAGGAGTGCTCTATTTTAACATTTGGAAATGTCTTAACATTTGATCTTTAATGTGCTATGGAAGTTACATAAGTCTCCACTATAAAGTTCCGTGTTCAAAAGCATTGTGCCTAGTACTGTGTGTGCTACATTGGATGTTCTCAGTGGGTACTCATTGAATTGAATGATGGTTCTAAACTTACCACAGGAAAAATGCATACACTGTTTTTAAAAATTATCATTGTTATTATTATACCATTATTCTATCTTACAGAGAAGTTTGGATTTGGAAACAAGTTAGAGTCCTGTGAGGGCCTTTTAAGGAATTTCTCCTGCCCAGGAAGCTGCCAGGATCCAAAGAAAAAGCATGTCCAGATCCCAACTTCCCTTGTATTGCTGCTTATTTTTCCTTGCAATTTCCCTGACCCAGCCACCATGCTTGCTCTTTGCACCTTCTCAGCTTTGTGAAAGGATGTCCTTGGTCCTCCAGGCCCTGCTTTCCTGTTGGTGGCCTCTATCTGGATTGGGTCTCTTGAGACACTGTTAGGGGTCAGACTTCCTGGGGCCAGATCTGCTACCCACTAGCTCTGTGACTTTGGGCAAGCTTCTTAATCCTTCTGGGCCACACTTTCCTCATTTGGAAACTTTGAATAATACTAGTACGTACATCATAAGGTACTAGGGTTAGTATGAGATGCAGTGATACTTACAAAGTGGTTAGAGCAGTACCTGGTGCTTTGTAAGTGTCTGATCCATGTTAGCCATCGATGTCATCACCACCTCTCCTCCAAGCTATATCCATGTCTTTTCTTTTCTTCTTTCCTTCCTTTCTTCCTTTCTATTTTTCTTTTTCTTTTCATTTTTTTGACAGGGTCTCACTCTGTTGCTCAGGCTGGAGTGCAGTGGCGTGATCATGGCTCACTGCAGCCTAGACCTCCTGGGCTCAGGTGATCTTCCCACCTCAGCCTCCTGGGTAGCTGGGACTACACATGTGCGCCACGTTGCCCAGTGTCTCAAGCAATTCATCCACCTTGGTCTCCTAAAGTGCTGAGATTACTGGCGTGAGCCACTGTGCCCGGCCTCTTGAGCTTTCTTTTAATGATTATACCAAGAATTCTTCATCACTCACTGCAGGGCCAGGACCAAGACAAAGTGTTAAATGGGTTCCATTTTGCTCTGGCTTCCATCTGGCTTGATTACCAGTCCCGGCCTTCCCTTCTCGCTGTTCTGGGCTTATTCTTGCCTTTAATATACAGTCAATAAGCAACTCAAGAGGGGCCGTATTTCAATCCAGCATTCCTGAAGACCAGGGGGCCTTGTGAACACATTTGTTCTTCACCTTATTTGATTGCAGATCTTTTTTTTTTCTTTTTCATTTTCTTTGAGACAAAGTTTTGCTCTGTTACCCAGGTTAGAGTATAGTGGCGTGATCATAACTCACTGCAGCTTTGAACTCCTGGGCTCTAGCAGACCTACCTCAGCCTCCCAGGTAGCTGGGACTTGAGATGAGTACCACCATGCCTGGCTAATTTTTTAAAAAAATTCTTTTGTAGAGACAAGGTCTCACTATGTTGCCCAGGCTGGTCTTGAACTCCTGGCCTCAAGTGATCCTTCCGTCTCAGCCTCCCAAAGCATTGGGATTATAGGCATGAGCCACCAAGCCCAGTCTGTAGATCCTTTTGAAAATCTGATAGAAAGAATGAAAGCTCTCCCAAATGTGGGAGCCTGTGGCTTCAGGGGAGTCTCCAGAATTCTAGGCATTAGATTTAACATTTAAAAAAAAACAAGGGCCAGTCGCGGTGGCTCACACCTGTAATCCCAGCACTTCGGGAGGCCGAAGCAGGCAGATCACAAGGTCAAGAGATCGAGACCATCCTGGTCAACATGGTGAAAGCCCATCTCTACTAAAAATAAAAAAAAAATTAGCTGGGCGTGGTGGCACACACCTGTAGTCCCAGCTACTCAGAAGGCTAAGGCAGGAGAATCGCTTGAAGCTGGGAGGTGGAGGTTGCAGTGAACCGAGATCGCGCCACTGCACTCCAGCCTGATGACAGAGTGAGACTCTGTCTCAAAAAAATAAAAAAGATTAAAAAAAAAAAACAAAACAAGAATGACGAAAGAGCAGGTGGTGTGGACTTGCTATTTGGAGGTTGAGGGCCTGTCTTCTGCCCCTTCGATCATTAAGGAAGTTATCCAGTCTTATGGCGAGATCAATATCATTACTGTATGGCCGGGCGCAGTGGCTCACACCTGTAATGTTAGCACTTTGAGATGCCGAGGCGGGCAGATCACTTGAGGCCAGGAGTTTGAGACCAGCCTGGCCAACATAACAAAACCTCATCTCTACTAAAAATACAAAAAAAATTAGCTGGGCGTGGTGGCACATGCCTGTAATCCTAGCTACTTAGGAGGCTGAGGTATGAGAATCATTTGAACCCAGGAGGCAGAGGTTGCAATGAGCCGTACTTACTATATATATATAGTAACTTACTATAGGTCTTTGTATATATATATAGTTACTGTAAGACATTTGTATATCGCAAAAAAAAACTATATATATATATACAGTTACTGTAAGACATTAGTATAGTGTAAAAAAAAACTAGAAAAAAAAACCAAAAAACAAACAAGAAAATCTAGCTCCTGTGTGTTTTTTACATGACCTTGTGGCACCTGCAGGCTAATTTTGTTTGTTCAGGTTTTGCCACATCCTGTGATCGTTCATTATCTTTGACTTGATATGTGACCGTACAAGAACATTTCAGTTATGGCCTAACATAATATGTGCTCTAAAAATTCCATTGCAGAAATCATACTTGATGAAGGTGGCCGTCATTCATTTTTGTCACCTAATCATGAATGCCAGTGCCACTTTCCATTTCAGGACTGGCATGGAAAGTTATGCCTGTGCATCAAACAAAAGTTTGCATGAAGAAGGAGCCTCTTGTTCAATTTTGCATGAGATGTTTCCTATTGACTTTGAAAACTTGAAGTGTTTGAAGGCAAGGGGGAAAGCAAATCAACCCAAGAGATTCCACATATTCAAAGACTCCAGCACTTTGTTTACCTAACACAGAACTGTGTGCTGGTGGCGAAATAAAGCCTTTGCCCTGAACAGGAAATCTTGGTGGAGTCCAGGCAGCAGGAGGCCTGGCAGCATTCCACAGTGATCAGCTGAAGGAAAAACAAGAGTTTACAATACTAACCCCAAATGCCCTTTTTGTCTCCCAGGAGAATAATACTATCTTGGCCTAGGAGGGTTGTGCCTTCATGCTCAACTCTTGGTCTAACAGTCATGAAGCTGCAGTAACATTCTGTTTTCCCCTCCTTAATCTTCTTTATCAAAGTCTTAATCCTTTGCTGCTGTTGTTTTTGAGATGGAGTTTCGCTCTTGTTGCCCAGGCTGGAGTGCAGTGGCGCGATCTCGGCTTGCCACGAACTCTGCCCTCTGGGTTCAAGTGATTCTCCTGCCTCAGCCTCCCAAGTAGCTGGGATTACAGGCATGTGCCACCATGCCTGGCTAATTTTGTATTTTTAGTAGAGACAGAGTTTCTCCGTGTTGGTCAGGCTGGTCTTGAACTCCAGACCTCAGGTGATCCGCCCACCTCAGCCTCCCGAAGTGCTGAGATTACAGGCGTGAGACCCCTAATCCTTTTTGTTTGTTTATATTATGAAATTAGGCCATTCTATAAGTGGTACACTTTTCAATTTCTTAAAAAAGGGAAAGGTAAATTATTTGGGGCAGACAACAAAATAGGAATGTAAATGCTTGAACTGTTGATTAAATTTGTGTGTTGTGTTGTTTTGTTTTGCTTTTTGAGCCAGAGTTTTGCTGTGTTTCCCAGGCTGGAGTGCAGTGGCGCAATCTCGGCTCACTGCAACCTCTGCCTCCTGGGTTCAAATGATTCTCATGCCTCAGTCTCCCGAGTAGCTGTGATTACAGGTGTGCACCACCACATCCAGCTAATTTTTGTATTTTTGGTAGAGACAGGGTTTCACCATTTTGGCCAGGCTGGTCTCAAACTCCCAACCTCAGGTGATCCGCCCTCCTTGGCCTCCCAAAGTGCTGGGATCATAGACATGAGCCACTGCGCCTGGCCTAAATTTGTGTTTAATATGGCAGGAGTGACGGCTGGGTCTGGTGACCTCCATTTCTCTATTGAATGGGGAGAAAGCACAGCCTTTGGGGTTTGAAGGGCATTATCGCTTTAAACATGTTTTTTGATTTAAATTTTTAAATATTTTTTAGAGATGCGGCCTTGCTCTGTTGCCCAGGCTAGTTTAGAACTCCTGGGTTCAAGTGATTCTCCTGCGTCAGCCTCCCAAAATGTTGGGATAATAGGTGTGAGCTACCACATCTGGCTGCTTTATAATTTTTTACTTGGCGTTTCTTTATCTGTTTTATGGGGACAATAATATCTACCTGATGGGTGGACACATAGTAGCTGACATAAGTGAGAATCTCCACCCACAAACTTTAAAACTGTTGCTTACGCATCATGCTATTGGTCCACAGTATATGGATTTGTGGATCGTGTCTTCTTCCTTCCATTTGAAAACTAGAACATTTGCTTATCTCCCGTCCCTCTATCACTTACCCCATCCTTTGTGATGGTTTTGAAGCACTGATCATTTTCCTGTATTACTGTGGGGAAGTGGATTATCTGCAATACATGCCTTGTGTTCATTTCCTCTCCTACCAGTCAGGCATGCAGTTTTGATAAACTACCTCCCAAGTTCTGAAGGAATTAGGCTTAACCTAAAATAAACAAAACAATAGAATTTTGATAGAAGTGGAACAGAGGCCTGCAGTGTTGTCCCAGGAGCTGTTGAGGGCAGTGGCGCCTGCTTCTGGCCATGGACAGAGAGATTCAGCATCACCATGTCATTGCAGAATGAAGGGAGAGTTGGCTTTGTTAACCACCTTGGCTGCCCGTGATGCACTGATCAGTTAAGATACCAACATTTCTTATTTACATCCTGTGTTGTTGTTTCTCCGCACCCAAGGGATGTGAACAGAGTGGTGGCAGTGATGGTTGCCAGCCCTCTGTCACCACCCTCTCCACTAGAATGCCATGTATTATGTATTTCCACTGAAGGACTTGATTTTAGCACCGAAGAGTGAGTGAGTGGTCGTGTAACCTGTACCTGCAATCTTGGCCTTGAATTCTCATTTTATTCCTCAATGCACTGGCTTAGAAATCAGCTGGCTGGTAGCTGTGAGCCAGGCCCATGCCCACTGCTTTCAGCTGGAGCCCTGCAGGGCTTTGCCCTCCTGGGTGGCCTTTGCCTGGTACGCCTCTCTTGTGCTGGGCTGAGGGCAGCTCTTGGTTATGTATGATTAGCTCAAATTGTGATTCAAAATTGGCACAATTATATCATCCTAATTAAAAAAATAAACCTGAAAATGTAGTATAAATTCCTAACTTCTGAAAATTCCTCGTAATACCCATCCCAGTTTTCAAAGCAGTTTCATAAGTTACTATTTATTTTTTCCTTCTTTTCTTTTCATTCCTTCCTTCTTCCTTCCTTCCTTTCCTTCCTTCTTTCCTTCTTTTCTTTCTCTCTCTTTCTTCCTCTTTCTCTTTTTTCCTTTTTTTTGAATTGGGGATCTTGCTCTCTTTTGATAATGCGATCATATCTCACTGCAGCCTTGAACTCCTGGGCTCAAGCCATCCTCCTGCCTCAGTCTCCTGTGTAGCTGGGACTACAGGTGTGTTCCACCATGCTTGGCTAAGTTTTTACATTTTTTTGTAGAGTTGAGGTCTCGTCATGTTGCCCAGGCTGGTTGCAAACTTCCAGGCTAAAGTGATCTCCCACCTCAGCCTCCTGAGTCACTGGGACATATTTCTGTGGAATCTCCCAGTTTGGCAAAACATTAACCCTAGAATTACTTTAACATTGTTGGAAAAGAGGTACCCCTTCGACTTCCTTTTGGAGAATATAGCCTCAGAATTTATGCTCCCTAGAAACCAGAAGTGATTTCAAGCAATGAGCTAGAAAGAGGAAATCTCTCTTCTTTTTGTAGACTTACTGCTACTAGTCTTTGGAGGAAGGTCCCCAGGTGGGTATATGTATCATTGTTGTGACACTTGTGATAAGGTTAGCCTATTTTTAATGATAAAGCACTAATCATCCTTTTCTTTTAAAAAATCGTTATAAAAATAAACAGTACAAAAGAGTATAAAATGAAATGTAAGGGCGGGCGCGGTGGCTCATGCCTGTAATCCCAGCCCTTTGGGAGGCCAGGGTGGGCAGATCGCGAGGCCAGGAGTTCGAGACCGGCTTGGCCAACATTGTGAGACCCTGTCTTTACTAAAAATATAAAAATTAGCTGGGCATGGTGGCACACACCTGTAATTCCAGCCACTCGAGAGGCTGAGGCAGGAGAATCCCTTGAACCTGGGACACAGAGGTTGCAGTGAGTCAAGATCACGCCACTGCACTCCAGCAAGACTCCATCTCAAAAAAAAAAGAAACGTAAAAGTCCTAGGTCTTCATGCTTCTCCCCAGAAGTAATTATTGTAGATAACTTTTGTGTATCCTTCCATATACACACCTACAGATCTATATACATAAATATAGATAGACATACATACATATGTACATGTGTATATTGTACACACACAAACAGCACGTATATCTTTTTTTCTAAATACCAATGGAATTTTACCAAAATATTATCTTGCATCTTGCCCTTTTTTCACTTATTGCTATAATAAGGCAGCTTGCCATGTTGGTACATGTAGCTCTCTCATATTTTTACTGTCTGCATAGTATCCCATTGTATGATTGGATCATAGTTTATTTAACGAGATGTCTATTGATGGATGTTTAGATTGACCCATGTTTTTACTCATAAACAATCTTGCAGGGAATCTCCTCTTACACAGCTTATCTAATGCATTTGGTGAATGAATATTCTCATTCATGGAGTCAAACTTGGTAACTATATTGTTGTATTTTGAATATTAGTGATTTAGTGGATTTAAGCAGAAAATATTTTAATGAAATTTAATGGCTAAGTAACAAAAGATCGCCTTTATTTGCACAAGAAACATTCTTACAGATGGTGAAAGTGTTACAGAAGCCAGTTTAGTTGGGTTAATATTATCGGTTAGGAGTTAATTCACAGTAAAGTGTTTGTTTTAGAACATCAAATTAATATGCCATGAAGGAATTTAAGGGGGTGGCATTTTTTATGAGTTGCCATAGTGGCAGATACAGAGTTGTGGCACATACCTCATGAGAATGTACTTCCAGAGGTAGAACTAAAAAAGAATAATTTCTCATAAGAGGAGGTGAGAAATGTTGGGGGTGGATTTTTCTTTCTAAAACCATGCTCATAAGTGATGAAAAGGACAGCTTTTAAAAATCACCAAAGAACTAAATGTATGACTAAATAGTGGAAAGGATCTTAACGTACATGTTTGCACAAAAATAAGAAACTCATTTTAATTCCATGAAACAAATACTAACTATGGTTTAGAGTGAATCTTGACAGCATTCATAGATATGGCTCTCCTTAAATAGACTCTTAGAATTAGATGTATTTGCTCTGAGCTCAGAGTTAAATCCTCATTTCCCCTTATGTCACACCCTACTGCCAAGTGTCTGATTAGCAGCATCCTGAAAGGAAAAGCCGGCTGCCTCCCCTGAAGTGGGTCCCCAGTTCTGTAGTCCAGCTTGCTCCAGAGGTTATTGTCACTCTGCCACCAAAAACAACCAATACAGTCAAAGCTCAGCAGCTCCAGCTCTAGCTGGATGAATTATCTTCTAACCACTCTTACCCCACATTGTACAACTGCATCCATCCTTCCTCAGTTGTACAGACAACTTAAATATTTCCTCTACACCATTGGTTCTCAACCAGTGGCCGTTGCCCCGTGCTGCCACCACCAGGGGACATTTGGTGGAGTTTGGAGACATTTTTGGTTGTTAAAGCCATAGGATGCTACTGACATATAGTCGGGAGAGGCCAGGGATGCTTCTAAATATCCTGCAATGCACAGAATAGTTCCCCCACCCAACAAAGAATTATCTAGCCCGATAGCGCTGAGGGTATGAAACCCTGCTGTACACAGTGATGTCACATACTGAGGTCTCATTGTTATTTCAGTTTTCTGGCATATCTAGTTTATCACATACTACACCTTTGTCAAAAATTGGATTGTTCGGCCAGGCGCAGTGGCTCACACCTGTAATCCCAGCACTTTGGGAGGCCGAGGCAGGCAGATCATGAAGTCAGGAGTTCTAGACCAGCCTGGCCAACATGGTGAAACCCCATCTCTACTAAAAATACAAAAATTAGCCAGGCGTGATGCTGCGCGCCTGTAATCGCAGCTACTTGGGAGGCTGAGGGAGGAGAACTGCTTGAACCCGGGTGGTGGAGGTTGCAGTGAGCCAAGATCGTGCCACTGCACTCCAGCCTGGGTGACAAAGCAAGACTCTGTCTCGGAAAAAAAAAAAAATTGTATTGTTCAATAATGGACCACCTTAGACATCGAGTAACTAAGGGGACTGATACTGTGGTAGAGTGATCTTAGCATTAGGCTAGGTGGCAATTAGGAGATAGGTGTTCTAATCTCATTATTGCCTCTAATTAGCTATGGGACCTTCCGAGCCATTTAATTATCTTTTGTGAAATGAGAGCATTTGCCTAAGTTGCCTAGAGTCTTTCTAAGTCTTAAAATATTCCATTACTCTGCCATTGCACATATATTTTTTAAGTGGGATAAGGATGAACAGTAGGTACATACAGGTGTTCCATTGATTCTTTCTATTTCCCCTACCAATAGACGTATTTCTGTAGGCCTGGCATGATGGCTCACGCCTATAATCCCAGCACCTTGGGAGGCTGAGGTAAGCAGATCACTTGAGATCAAGAGTTTTGAGACCAGACTGGCCAACGTGGTGAAACCATGTCTCCACAAAAAATACAAAGGTTAGCCAGGCATGGTGGTGCATGCCTGTAACTACATCCCAGCTACTTGGGTGGCTGAGGCAGGAGAATCGCTTGAACCCAGGAGGTGGAGGTTACAGTGAGCAGATGTCATGCCACTGCACTCCAGAGTGAGACTCTGTCTCAAAAAAAAAAAAAAAAGATAATTCTGTTATATAATCTTTTGTTAACTCTGCAGATGTCCTGGCTTTAAGATCGTCCTGTATGATCATCCAATGCTGAGAAGTGCTGATGACCTAATACTAATATATCACATAAGACACTTCATTTTCCAGCAACAGTAATATATAGCATTAGTTCATTCATACATCTACTTTTGATCAGACATTTACTGAGGGGTGATCGATGCCAAGTATTTGATCCATATAGTAATCCTGCAGCCAGGCAGGAAAAGGCTTATTCTCTCCAAATTACGTACCAGAAGCCACAGCTCAGAGAGATGTCCCAGGTCATATGACTCCATAAGTGACAGTTCCAAGACAGATGTTTCCAGGACTCCCTTAATTCTTGGAGAGAGCACCTTCCTTCTGTGATCTAGCGAAGTCATAGGACAGGAGAGCCACAGCCAGCAACTGAGAGTGGAAACTTTACTTATCAGATTAGAAAACATATGCCCCCAGAAAGGTGAAATCTCACAAAATAGACACAAACCTCAGGAGTTTTAATTAAAAAGGACAGCTTTTTAATTCCCTTCTCTTCCAGTTCTCTAAATAATGTATTTCTGACATTAAGTGTATTAGGACCAGACTGGTGTCTTCTGGCAGTAGAATGGTAGACAAAAAAAAATGTGTTTTCAAGCTGGAGACCTGAGGCTGGGCATGGTGGCTCACGCCTGTAAAACCAGTGCTTTGGGAGACCAAGGAGGGAGGATTGCTTGAGCCCAGGAGTTCAAGACCAGCCTGGGGAACATAGTGAGACTGTGTCTCTACAAAAAAATTTAAAAATTAGCCAGGTGTGGTGGTGCACACCTTTGGTCCCAACTATTTGGGAGACTGAGGTGGGAGGAGCACTTGAGCCCAGGAGGTCGAGGCTGCAGTGAGCCATGACCATGCCACTGCACTCCAGCCTGGGCAACAATGTGAAACTGTGTCTCTGAAAAAAAAAAAAATGAATTTGAACACCTGCACTAAACCCCATCTCCACCACTGCCGGCTGTATAACCCAAGGCGAGTTACTTTCTCTTAAGCCTTAATTTTCTCATCTGTAAAATGGGGATTACTAATACTTAGTTCATAGGATTGCTATGAAGGGTAAGTGGGATAATATGTATCTGTAAGTCCTAGTCTAGGAACTTCTTTTTCTTTTTCTTTTTTTTTTCTTTTTTTTTCTTTTTTTTTTTGAGGACCCGACCTTTTATTTTGCCAAGCAAAAATCTTAAAAACAACCTATACCAATATCTCCACAAATCTATTAGCATTTCATAAAAGAAAGGATATTTTAACATTCAAAATGAAAGAAGGACCTAATCCCAAAATAAAGATCAGTTTTCTGTAGTCCCTAGTGTTTTTTTCTCACGTATCCATGGACTAGTAAGGGTTTCATCATGGCCTAGCATGAGTCCATAGGCCACTGCTTGGAAAACTTCTATGTATCCAGTATACAATGCACTGATTACTGTGCTCAGTGCTTAACAGGCAACTGGAAGATGGTAAGAACTATTATTAATAACAGACACTTAGAGGTTTTGATATATGTAACTTTAGAGTCCTTCTTTCCATTTCTAAAAATTCCGACAATTTTTGAACAAGTGAACGAGTGGCCTCTTGTAAGACAACAGAGCCAGAAGTCCTCAGGAGCTCAGTACAATTGTGTCTTTGCTTTATAAAATAAATCATCATGAATGAGAAGTAGCTTTGCCATGTGTATTACTTTCACCAGGTATTATGCCTCACTAAATGCAGAGTTCTTTTCTGTTTCTCCGTATTATGTTAGATTGTTTACCTGAACCCTGATGGCTAGCTTCTTTACAGGGTTGTGAATGTTGTCCCTTCAGTCATTAGCGAAATGCTTATTGTGTATCTACTATGCTGCAGACCCTGTTCCTAGGGTCGGGGATACACAGTGAACAAAATAGACAAAGGCTCTCCCTCTCTTTAAGGGGCTTTTTATTTTTATTTTTATTTTTTTATTGAGACGGGGTCTCACTCTGTCACCCAGGCTGGAGTGCAGTGATATAATCGTGGCTTACCACAGCCTCAACCTCCCAGGCTCAGGTGACACTCCTACCTCAGCCTCCTAAGTACCTGGGACCACAGGTGTGTGCCACCATGCCTGGCTATTTTTTTCTATTTTTAGTAGAGGTGGGGTTTCACCATGTTGCCCCGGCTGCTCTAGAACTTCTGGGCTCAAGTGATCCACTCGCCTCGACCTCCCAAAGTGCTGGGATTACAGGCGTGAGTCACCATGCCTGGTCTTTAAAGGGCTTTTTAAATTCTAGTTCTTTGGCTGGGTGCTGTGGCTCACGTCTGTAATCCCAGCATTTTGGGAGGCCGAGGCAGGCGGATCACCTGAGCTAAGGAGTTCAAAACCAGCCTGACCAACGTGGTGAAACCCTGTCTCTACTAAAAATACAAAAAAAATAGCGAGGCGTGGTGGCACGTGCCTGTAGTCCCAGCTACTTGGGAGGCTGAGGCAGGAGAATTGTTTGAACCCAGGAGGTGGAGGTGCAGTGAGCCGAGATTGTGCCACTGCACTCCAGCTTGGGTGACAGAGCAAGACTATGTCTCTAAATAAATAAATAATTCTAGTTCTTAGGATCATGGTTGGAAGGGGCAGAAGGGGTATATAGACACTAAAAGAAATCTGTAACAGCTGCTGCTGTGAAGAAAGGAAAGCAGTGTTAGAGATGAAGGGTGTGATTAAAATATGATGGCCTGGATAGGTTTCTCTGATAAGGCAATGTGTGTGTAGAGTCTGGAAGAATTTTGGTATTAAAGGAGTAAATTAATACATTTTTGTTTTGCTTGTAAACTTAATTCTCTGATGAAGTGCCTCTTCTATTACCTTTCTGTGGAAGAGGAGAAAATGCAAATATTGGAAAAGAGCAAGAGAAATAGTAACATACTTATGGCACTATTTCCTCCATTTATAGAGCAAAAATGAAACAAACAAAAAACTGAATTAAGTGGCTTTTAAACTAAGACACAAGCCTGCTTTTCTCAAACACCTTTTTCCTTTTCTTTCTTTTTTTTTTTTTTTTTTTTTTTTTGAGACAGGGTCTCACTCTGTCTCCCACGCTGGAGTGCAGTGGCACAGTCTCAGCTCACTGCAAACGCCGCCTCCCTGGTTCAAGCGATTCTCCTACCTCAGCCTCCAGAGTGGCTGGGACTACAGGCGTGTGCCACCATGCCCGGCTAATTTTTGTATTTTTTTTTGTAGAGATGGGGTTTCTCCATGTTGCCAAGGCTGGTCTTGAACTCCTGAGCTCAAGCGATCCACCCACCTTGGCCTCCCAAAGTGCTGGGATTATAGGCATGAGCCACCGCGCCCGACCCCTCAAAACACCTATTATTACTGCTTTTCCTTTATGGCTGCCTGGGTATCAATCCAAGAAGCATCTTTGAAAGTGTTAAATATTTACTTACACTGGCAAAAGTAAGCTTCATCTGTGAAATTGTCTTATAGGACCCAAGAATCTTAAAGAAAAATATTGACCACTCAGTGGTGGCTTATTTAGGAATATCTGTATATTTTTTGTTAAATGTTCTAGAATTTAAAATTCTTCTGAGCACAGTCCCTATAGAATTGAATTAATTCTTTTACATAATTCCAAAGTTGAAAAAGATGAATGACTTGTCTACTTTCAGCTAGATTTTAACTTTTGAGGTAAAATTGCTAACATCCTTTCAAGTAAGTTCTTTATTTCCAAAATTACTTTTTCTTTTTCTTCTTCTTTTTTTTTTTTTTTTTTTTTTTGAGATAGGGTCTCACTCTGTCACCCAGGCTGCAGTGCAGTGGTGCAATTTCCTCAGCTCACTGCAACCTCTGCCTCCCAGGCTCAAGTGATCCTCTCATCTCAGCCTCCTGAGTAGCTGGTACCACAGGCGCATGCCACCACACCCACTAATTTTTTGTAGAGACGGGTTTCATCATGTTGCCCAGGCTGGTCTCGAATTCCTGGGCTCAAGAGATCTGCCCACCTTGGCCTCCCAAATTGCTGGGATTACAGTCATGAACCACTGCGCCCGGCCCCAAAATTACTTTTTCTAATGACACACAACACCAGAGGATTGGAAGGAAACATCCAGAATTTGCTCCAGTGTTCTTTTTCATCACTTATGTTCCTTGGGGGTTTCTGTGGTTCCAGAAGCCATTCATGCCTGCGAGACAGCGGCCCTGGGGGAGAATTGAGCTTTTTTCTCTCCTGAGCAGATACGCTTGTTGGATTGCATTAAATGAGCCCCTTGAACCACTGTGCTCAGCCTTGTCTGCACATCGGCATCAACTGCAAGTTTTAATGATCTTGATGCCCGGGACTCATCTCCAGAAGCTCTGATTTAATTGGTATATAGGGCAGCCTGGGAATCAGGATTTTGTAAAAGCTCAAGTGCTTCTAATATGCAGCCACGCTGAAAAACCACTGCCTTAGAGCAGTGCTTCTCAAAATGTAATGTGACTATTAACCACCCAGGGATCCTATTAAAATACAGATTCTAATTCAGTAAAGTGTGAGGTGGAGGCCAATGATGTGTAAATAAGACCATAGAGCAGGAGTCAGCAGCCTCTGGCCTGTGGACCAATTCTGACCCTATGCCTGTTTTTGTACAGCCTGCAAGCTAATAATGACTTTCACATTTTAAAATGATTATTTTTAAAAAGAAGAAGATGTAACTGGGCATTGAAGGTCCACAAAGCCTAAAATATTTACTATCTGGCCCTATACAGGAAAAGTTTGCTAACCCATGATCTATCTTCATAAGGTTCCCCATAACCACTGAAAGTCTCTTCTCAGTATTATCCCACTTTATTGGATCCTATAGCCTCTTGTCTTAGGAATTCCCATACTTAGGAATTTGTTTTTATATAAAAGAAATGAGGTCTGGGTATAGTGGCTCATGCCTGTAATCCCAGCACTTTGGGAGGCCATGATGGGCTGATTGCTTGAGGCCGGGAGTTTGAGAGCAGTCTGGCCAACATGGCAAAATCCTGTCTCTACAGAAAATACAAAAATTATCCAGGTGTGGTGGTGTGTGCCTGTAATTCCAGCTACTCCAGAGGTTGAGGCATGAGAATCACTTGAACCCAGGAGACAGAGGTTGCAGTGAGCTGAGATCACACCACTGCACTCCAGTCTGGGTGACAGAGTGAGACTCTGCCTCAAAAAAACGAAAAAAAAAAAAAAAAAAGAAAGAAAAAGAAATGGCATAAACTGGTAGAATACACAGCCCATGAATTGTTGGTCATAAAATTAACTGCAAATGTAAATATTATTTTAAAATTTCAACTCTATATTTTTTAAAAATTATTTTGTGATTTTATTGTAAATGTAGTTCCAAAAAGACACATTTTCCTTGAATGACATTTTTTTTATTTTAAGTAAAGATTGCCAGGACAGAGAGAACCAAGAGTCACTGAAGATTCCCCTTCAGAAATAGTAAAGTTCTACTGCGTATATTCGGGGTTTGCCAACAATGATTTGAAAAATAAAAGGTTGCTTTCTACTGAAATGCTGAATGAATAAATTTGGGTGCATGAGAGATTCACTGTCTGTGGGTAAACAAGGGGCAGTGTGAGTCTTAAAAAGGAAGATTGTTGAGGGCAATATCTACATTTCACAGATGAGGAAACTGAGCTTTGGAAAATGCAAGTGAAAATCTGAGGACCATAGCGAAATAGTGGCAGGACGAGAACTGGAAGTTGCTCTCCTGATTTGTTTCCAGTTCATATTTTTTCTGTGATTCTGCATTCTACTCAAGAACTAATATTATGATTAAAATGCCTGACAGTATAAAAGGACCAGTTTAAAAACTATCACAGATATTCCTATTTGTCATACATTATGTTTTCCTTTAAGACCCTGAGGATAGGCTGGGCGCAGTAGCTCACACCTGTAATCTCAGCACTTTGGGAGGCCGAGGCGGGTGGTTCACTTGAGCTCAGGAGTTCAAGACCAGCCTGGGCTACATGGCAACCCTGTCTCTACAAAAAATACCAATAAATAGCTGGGCGTGGTGGTGCCTGCCTGTAGCCCCAGTTATCTTGGGGGCTGAGGCAAGAGGATCACTTGAGCTCAGGTGATGGAGGCTACAGTGAGCCGAGATTGTGCCACTGCACTCCAGCCTGGGTGACAAAGTGAGACCCTATCTCAATAAATAAATAAAATGAAAATAAAACCTTGAGGATATTTATAATATTAGCTGCTTTCACGTCCTTGTTTGTTAATTCCATCATCTTTATCATTTCAAGATCTGTTTCTGTTGACTGATTTTTCTCCTGATTATAGGTAATATTTTCCTGCTTCTTCCCATGTCTAGTAATTATGAGATGCTGGACTTAGTGATATTACATTGTAGAGTGTCTGTATTTTGCTGCCTTTTTATAAAAAGTATCAAAGTTTGTTATGGCAGGCAGTTAAATTACTTGCTTATCAACTTGATCCTTTCAAGACTTGTTTTTAAGCTCACGGGATATTTTCTCTCTCTCTCTCTCTCTCTCTCTCTCTCTCTCTCTCTGTGTGTGTGTGTGTGTGTGTGTGTGTGTGTGTGTGTGTGTTGGGATTACAGGCGTGAGCCACTGCATCCAGCCTAAACTCACTAGGGAGATTTTTTGAATAGCCTGTACTCTGTAGCTAGTTTAGCTTGCTACCAAGGTTTAGCCTTTCTGGGTCTGTACTGAATATCCCAGGTATTCAACAGTCATCTCACTCTGGCTGTCAGAACATGCATGTCTCCCAGCCCTGTGTGAGTTCTGGAAGTTGTTCAGCTCACAGCTCCCCTGGCTGTGCCTGGCATTATGACTTAGTGTTCACTGTGAAATACTCAAAAGAATCCCTATGCTGATTTCTGGAGCTCTTTATCTGTTTAGCTCCCTCATCTCCAGGACTCAGCTTCAGAAATTCCAGGCACCTGAAACTGATCTCTGTCTCTTTGCTGAGGAAACTGCTGTGAGGCAGTGAGATTGCTGTGCTCTGTTTGGATTCCCCTTCCCTGCGCTGTGGTCTAGGAAGTGCCTCCAGCAGAACACTGGGGGCAATTGTAGGCACATCTTGCGTCCCTTCTCTCAGTGATCAAAGTCCTATACTAACTGTGACCAGGATCTGAAAGCAGTTGTTTTTTGTCCAGTTTTCTTTTCTTTTTCTCCTTTTTTTCTTTTTCTTTCTTTTTTTTATTTTTTTATTTTTTTTGAGACAGCCTTGCTCTGTTGGAGTGCAGTAGCACTATCTCGGCTCACTGCAACCTCTGCCTCCCAGGTTCAAGCGATTCTCCTGCCTCAGCCTCCCAAGTAGCTGGGATTACAGACACCTGCCACCACGCCTGGCTAAGTTTTGTATTTTTAGTAGAGATGGGGTTTCACCATGTTGGCCAGGCTGCTCTAGAACACCTGACCTTAAGTGATCCACCCGCCACAGCCTCCCAAAATACTGGGATTACAGGCGTGAGCCACTGCACCAGGCCATTTTGTCCAGTTTTATAGCCATTTATAGCAGAAGGGCAAATTTGGTATAGTTAACTCTGCCATTGCCAGAGGCTGTTCACTTAGATTTGTCTTGTAACATTTTTCTGTAGTAAGTAAAGGCAGGGATCCTGTACCCATTTTATAGGTTAAATAATGCAGAGTTGCCAAGAAATAAGAGGGTTGGAATCACATACTGGGTTGGTTGGTAGGTAGGTCATATGATCCAGGAACTCTTGGTCCTTGCAAGGAGATAGGAGGAAATGCTCAAATTTGTCTCCCCAAATGGGGGCCTGGGTTGAGGTTTATAAGCATATGGTAATGAGGCGTGAATGAGGTGACTGGATTGATCTTGGAATGAGGTGATTGATTGGATCTTACAATAAGGCGATGATGTTGGGGGTCATGATCTAACTGGAATCCACCATGGGGTGACTCCAGGGCTCAATCTGATTGGATCCTGGATCCTGCCATGCAGTGTCCACTTCTGTTTTGTTTTGTTTTGTTGAGATGGAGTCTTGCTCCATTGTCCAGGCTGGAGTGCAGTGGCATGATCTCAGCTCACTGCAACCTCTGCCTCCTGGGTTCAAGCAATTCTTGGGCCTCAGCCTCCCAAGTAGCTGGGACTACAGGTGTGCGCCATCACACCCAGCTGATTTTTGTGTTTTTAGTAGAAACAGGTTTCTCCATGTTGGCCAGGCTGGTCTTGAACCCCTGACCTCAAGTGATCTGCCCGCCTCAGCCTCCCAAAGTGCTGGGATTACAAGTGTGAGCCACCGTGCCCCGCCAGTGTCTACTTCTTAATTCAGTCCCACTCCTCGGTCTGAGCACTTAGGTTCCCCCTAGTGGAACTAAGCATGGTTGCATGCTTGGTTCATCTGGGCATGCTCAGGTTATGAGACCTGAGGGTCCGTGACAACTGAAAAACAACTCACAACTTTGTTACGTAAAAGTTGAACCAGATTGATCTGGTGTGACCACACTCTTACCCTTATCTGTTATTTCTCATTCCAAACTTTGCTTATTAACTGTAATGTTTGCCTTTGTAATTGCTTCACTTTCATCACATATAAGAAGTACTCAATGAATGCTTACTGATTTCATGCACTGTAGGAACAACACCGACTATTGTCATGTTGGCTGTTGTCATATTAAAACATCATGTAGGCCAGTCATGGTGGTTCACATCTGTAATCCCAGCACTTTGGGAGGCTGAGACAGGAGGATCCTTTGAGGTCAGGAGTTCGAGACCAGCCTGGGCAACACAGCAAGACCCTGTTTCTACAAAAAATAAAAAAATTAGCCAGGCATGGTGGAGTACACCTTTAGTCCTAGCTACTTGGGAGGTTGAGGCAGGAGGATGGCTTGAGCCCAGGAAGCCAGGGCTGCAGTGAGCCATGATGGTGCAACTGCACTCCAGCCTGAATGACAGCGTGAGACCCAGTCTCTTAAAAACAACAACAATAAAATCATCATGTAACTTGCTAAGACAGCCACACCTTTGTGTTGTGCCTAAAAAATTACTGAGTTCTGGTGGATACATAATGAGGACTTGACAGTGTTTTTTTTTTGTTTTTTGTTTTGTTTTTAGAAGGAGTCTTGCTCTGTCGCCCAGACAGGCTGGAGTGCAGTGCTGTGATCTCAGCTCACTGCAACCTCCATCTCCTGGGTTCAAGTGATTATCCCGCCTCAGCCTCCCCAGTAGCTGGGATTACAGGCGTGTGCCACCATGCCTGGCTGATTTTTCTATTTTTAGTAGAGACAAGGTTTCACCATGTTGGTTGTCCAGGCTTGTCTCCTGACCTCAGGTGATCCGCCCACCTCGGCCTCCCAAAGTGCTGGGATTATAGGCGTGAGCCACCATGCCCAGCCAGTCTTATTAAATGCTTCAAATATATGTCACATTCAGCTTCATGTCCCTGATGGTTCCCTGCACCATGCTACGCCAATAAACACTCAACGGATACTCAACGGATACAAAAGAGTATTTGGTAGATCTTCAGAGACGGAAAGCAAATTCAGTGCCTTTATTCAGCAAAAATTCAATGAGCAGCTGCTATGTGCTGGACACTGTGCTAGCCCCTGGGGATGAAGTGTGAATTAAAGGCAGTGTCTGCCCTCTTGAAGTTCACCACCCAGTGATAGAACACCCAAGAAACCAGCCTCCAAGATGTTCAGATTAAAAGAAATTCTTCCACAGTGACATTTTCACCAGGCAAACTCAGAGTTGTTTGACATGAGAAGGTTTAAAAAAGGATAGTTGTGAAAGACCAGGCAAAGTTCACAAAGTGAAGAAGGGAAAATATTATTTCAGACTGATATTAAATGATGGCCTAGCCTGCTGCCATACTGTCTCACAGGGAAAAGTTTTATTTATGTCTCCTTTGATCTTTTCTCCTTTTTGTCTCTAGGTTTGATGTACAAGCTTTAGCTTGGGCCTTTGATTTACAGTGTTCTGGAGAAAGAGACCAGGGATGACAAAGCCAACCAGGCTGTTACCTAAAAACCTGATATATTGTCCTAGATCTAGGCTGTCTTAGAGCTACACAAAGAATTTCCAGCAGACTGCTCAGGAAGAGCCTGCTGGGAAGGCAGTTCCCCTAAAGTCCCATAAAATAAAGAGCTTCCCAGTCCTTCTTTGATATCCACGGTTTGCTTAAGTATTGGATGTTAAGGCAGCAACTTCTAGTCCTGTGGAAAATCTTTTAATATCTGTGCTTAATCAACTGAGAAAATAAAAATTTATAGATCCATCAATGACAAATATATTAAACATGGGGCTTTAAAAATTGCCTGGAAGTCTGTGACCAACATTTTTTTAGCCTGTAAAATATAGTTTGTTTAAACTTATTAAGGCTGGGCGTGGTGGTGGCTCACGCCTATAATCCCAGCACTTTGGGAGGCTGAGGTGGGCGGATCACCTGAGGTCAGGAGTTCGAGACCAGACTGGCCAACATGGTGAAACCCCGTTTCTACTAAAAATACAAAAATCAGCCGGGCGTGGTGGTGTGCACCTATAATCCCAGCTGCTCAGGAGGTTGAGGCACGAGAATCGCTTGAACCAGGAGGCGGAGGTTGCAGTGAGCTGAGATCACACCACTGCACTCCAGCCTGGGTGACAGAGCATGACTCTATCTCAAAACAAAACAAAACAAAACAAAAAAACTTGATTATAGTATACTGGATATTGAGGGATAGGGAATTTAGTTATCAGCTGGGAGTAATAACAAATTTCTGGAAAACTCAAACATCGATCATATCAGAGTTTCTGAGGATCAGAAATCCAGGAGGGGCTTAATAGGGTAGTTCTGGCTCAGGGTCTGTCATGAGGTGGCCGCCAAGTGAAACCTTCCCTGGAGCTGGAAGAGCTGCTTCAGAGAAGACTGCCACCGGATGCTTGGCTGGAGTTTTCAGTTTTTCTCCACATGGGCCTCTCCCAGGGCTGCTGAGTGTCCTTGAACTGTGGCAGTCAGCTTCCCCACAGTGAGTCGTGAGAGAGGGAGACAGCCAAACAGAAGCCCTGGAGTCTTTCATGATCTCATCTCAGACATGATGGGCCATCTCCTCTGCTGCACTCGACAGTCATACAGACCAACCCTGGGACCACATGCAAGGGGACCACCTGAGGGTGTGAGTGCTAGGAGGTGAGGAGCCATCCTGGATGCTGGCTACCTCATAGGTGACTGGCCAGGCAAAGTTTATTAACTAAAAGTTCTTTGTGTTGACTCAGGTGAACTAACATTTACTGCTTCAGTTGTTCATTTAATTTAATTTTCTTGAGAGATTTAAAGTAAGTGCTCAAAGCCAGGCATGGTGGCTCATGCCTGTAATCCCAGCACTTTGGGAGCCCAAGGCGGGCAGATCACCTGAGGTCAGGAGTTTGACACCAGCCCAGCCAACACGATGAAACCCCATCTCTACTAAAAATACAGAAAATTAGCCGGGCGTGGTGACGGGTGCCTGTAGTGCCAGCTACTTGGGAGGCTGAGGCAGGAGAATCACTTGAACCTGGGAGGCAGAGGCTGCAGTGAACCAAGATCGCACCACTGCACTCCAGCCTGGGCTACAGAGTGAGACTCTATCTCAAAAAAATTAATTAATTAAAAATAAATAAATGAATAAAGTGAGTGCTCAGAGCTGTGTTGCTTTGTTGTGTGCATGTGTGTGAGTGTGTGTGCTTGTGTCCCTAAGTCCCAGCAGTGAGACAAATTGTGTGGTTCCTTATCGTACCTGAGAAGCAGGGAGCAGCCACCAAGAAGACTGTTACAGTGGGTGAGTTGTTTATGCCCTGCTTAAGGCCAGCCCCTCCACTTAATCTTCATCTCCTCTCTCCTAGTCATGGACTTCACACCCACCGTTAACCCCTCACTCCTGCATTATCAATCTTTCTCTCTTGACTGGCTCATTCTTGGCTACATACAAAGATGATGTAATATTTCCCATCTAAAAAAAAAAATCCATGACCCCAGGTTCCTCTTTAGGTCCTGCCCTGTTTCTCTGTTCCTTTTTATAGCAGAAGGCTATGAAAGATGTGTCTTATTTGTCTATACTCACTCTCTCCACCTCTTACCTTCCCGATTTCTCTCCAACCCACTCCAGTCACACTTTTGCCTTCCCTCCCCCACCCCGCCCCCACCCCCATATATACTCCACCACTGCTATTGTTATGGAACTGTGGTGTCTTTTGTCCTTCCAAATCCAGTGGTCGGTTCCCAGTCCTTTGTATTTGACCAAGCAGCAGCGTTTTACACTGTTGATCCCCCCCTTCCCGGATACCTGTTCTTCCCTTGGCTCCTGGGACCCCTCCCTCAGCTTCTCCTCCTGCCCTCACTGGCTGCTGTTTCTCATCCTCCTCTGCTGGCTCTTCAAGGCACTTCTTACTGACCTCAGGCCTCAGGCCTCTTCCCTCCACCCCTCTGCCTTCAGTCCCTTTTGTATTTTTTTGTAGAGACAGGATTTTGGCATGTTGGCCAGATTGGTCTCAAACTCCTGACCTCAAGTGATCCACCTGACTCGGCTTCCCAAAGGCATGAGTCATAGTGCCTGGTCTAGCATAGACTTGTTTTTTGTTGTTTTTTGTTTTTTTTTTTTTGAGATGGAGTTTTGCTGTTGTCACCAGGCCGGAGTGTAATGACGCGATCTCAGCTCACTATAACCTCTGCCTCCTGGGTTCAAGCAATTTTCCTGCCTCAGCCTTCCTAGTAGCTGGGATTACAGGCGCCCGCCACCACACCCAGTTAATTTTTGTATTTTTAGTAGAGACAGGGTTTCACCATGTTGGCCAGGCTGGTCTCGAACTCCTGTCCTCAAGTGATCTGCCCACCTCAGCCTCCCACACTGTTGGGATTACAGGCATGAGTCACCGCGCCCAGCCAAAAATCTCATAATGTTCTAAGAAAGTTTACACAGTTGTGTTGGGCTGCATTCAAAGCCATCCTGGGTTGCATGGGCAAGCTTCCTCCACTGCCTGCATCTGTCCCCATAGGCCACCTCTAGAATGTGTTCCAAATAGAGTAATGTCTCACCACCTCCTCCAC